>NC_000002.12:21146119-21297634 GCF_000001405.40 Homo sapiens
ATTTTGTGAGAAAAAATAATTTTAGGCTTTCTGTGTAAAAACTCTTAGAATCTATTCTTCCTGTATTTGAAGTCCAGACTATACCTGATGAGTCACAGTAATTTTGAGCTAAACTTAATTCAGAGTAAATAGTAAAAATATTATCATGTTAGAAATGGCCTAGATGTATATTACGTTTACTTTATCTTGCCCAGGTATTGTTCTAAATGCAGAAGTTGCCACCCTTTACATTTAGAAAATTGGCTTAACTTTCCCATAGTTTCAGCCTATTTTAACATCAGTGTTTAGATATTCAAGGTAATTGTTTTTATCTGTAGACTATTTTCTCCAGAACAAACTTGTTAGTCTTTTTCCAGGGTGTTTTCTCATTTGTTTTTGTTTTTTAAAATCATGTTTGCTTGCCCACATGCTTGTTTTTGCCTGACAGTCCTTGTATAGATTATGAGAACTAGAGAATGTAATAACCCATTCAAAAAAGCACAAGAAATATCTGTTCATTCTTTGCTAATGAGGCAGTGCTTAATGGTAATATGTGCCTATTCTTCTACAGTTGCTTATTTAACTGGAAGTCATCTTTGAAAGAAATCTAGAATGACAGCCCATTTTTAAAGAGGAGTTTTTAATATTTTAAATATGAAGTAACATCTAGACATCCAGAGGAGAATGGCTGATAGACATGTGAAATGTCAGACTGCGTCTTGAGAACACAACACTATTGAGTCATACAGATTTATGACTCGCTTGCATTGGATGGTTATTAAAAATATGGGCACTGAGGCTAACTCCCTGAGTGTGAATATTTGCTTTGTCCCTTATTAGTGATAAAACCATGGGTAAGCTTTTAAACTCTTCTGTGCCTCAGTTTCTTCTTGTGTAAAATGGAGATCATAATAGTAACTACCCCTTTGGGTGGTTGTGAAGATAAATTAAAACATGTAAAGCATTTCAGTGTTGCCTGGTACATAATAAATGCTCACTAACTGTTAGAAATATAATCATCCTGATAAAACTATATTTGTTTTGAAAGTATTTTTGTGAAATCATAAGTTAAAATAATTTTTGGTGCTGCTAAGCAAGAAACTGAACTATATTTAAGGTGAATACACACAGATGTATTTAGTATTAGTATAATGGTTACATTCATCATTAAATTTCTATTCTGAAGATAGGATTTATGAGTAAGAGACGATTTATGAGTAAGAGACAATTATAGTTCCAGATAAAGAATAGAATAGGTTATATATATTTTTTCCATTGTGGACATATATTGCTAAATGAACAAGATGTTTTTAGTTGTCACATAGAATTATATATATATAACATGTTATATAATTATAGTATATGTTATACATATACTATATGTTATATATACTATATGTTATACATATACTATATGTTATACATACTGTATGTATATGTATAACATATATACATATGATGTATAACATAGTATATATATAACTTGTTTACTCTCAGTATTTTTCCTTGTTTACCTTTTATACTGTGACTTAGAAATTGTTAAGTAAAATGAATTGTTAAGTAAAAGTTTATAGTTTATAATAATTTTTAAATGAATAAGTCTTGAGTAACTCTTAATGAGACCCATAATGCTTTGAAGATTATATTACAATATACTCATGATTTTTTGTTTTTCAGTAGAAGAAAATGGAAGCACAGATCACTTATGCATTAGTTTGGTAACAAATGATATATAGGATACCCAGTAATTACTATCTTGGTTTAGACACTGTAGAGCTGGAGTAAAGGTGTTAAGCATAGTACGACAACTTCCAATGTTAAATCATGTTAAATGAATCTAGATTTTTCAGATTTTTTTCCCCAGGAGACCATGTTAGATTGTTAGATTGCTGTAGAAATTTTCTGTGACCTAGGACATGATGCGTTGATTTTAAAAAGATTATTACTTAGTAAATGTGGTTCACCAGTGTGAGATGGCTTGAAAATATTTTATTTGATGAACTCTTCTTCTTTGTATGTGGTTTCAAAGGCAATAAATACCATTTTACCTTCTGATACTTTTCACATGTCTTCCCTGTCCTTTGTTTCAGTTCCTACTTTGTTGAGTTATAATTGCAACTGTGGTTAGTATATAGAGAGTTAGTGCTACCATTTCCCTGGAAAATAGAAGTGCTTGTAAGAGTGGCATTTATTAAAAGGAAATAGAGGAAAAATCAGACATAATCTCTTCTTTCCTTGTGTTTAGCTCATAATATGATAATTTTCTATCATTTTATTTTTAGCAATATTTAATTTTAGTTGGGTTTTATATTTTTGGTTATTAGGTTATTAGCTACTTGGAGATATTTGTGATATTCAAGAACAGTACGTCCAGCAGGGAAGGGGAATCAATATTTTGTCATGCATTTACTATTGAATTGGAATTTATTTTGCAAGTAAATATTAATTGAGCAAGTTCAGGGTATTATTTTGATGCAAAGATAGAACCATAAAATTATACAAGTGCACTGAAGAGTTAGAGTAAGCCAAACAATTCTGAAGAACTTGATATGGGGTGGTTTAAAGAATATTTGCAAAAATTTAGAAAATTCCTAAGCAAGCTAGGGACAATCAAGTGTGTTAATATCTGTATGTCTGTATTGAGCATGTTGATATTGTCATTTCTTTGATGTTGGGAAATAATTTCCAGAAACACTGTAAGTTTGAATTTGGTATCCTGAAAGTTAAAGTTTACTTAAGAGTTGGAAACTTTATGTATGTATTTTTTCAAACAAGTTCATCTCTAGTTTGTGGTTATTTGAGAACAAACAATGTAACATTTACTTTTTGTAACCTAAACTCTCTGAACACTTTTGTGTCATTCCCTCTCCCCTAAGCCCTGCCAGATCTTGAAGATTATTTCCACAATTATGAAGAATATCTCCTTTGGAAAAGAATTCATTTTACACAACAACTTCTTCTTTTTTTTTTTTTGACAAAGTCTTGCTCTGTCACCCAGGCTGGAGTGTAATGGTGCTTGGCTAATTTTGTATTTTTAGGAGAGACGGGGTTTCACCGTGTTGGTCAGGCTGGTCTTGAACTCCTGACCTAAGGTGATTCACCCACCTCGGCCTCCCAAAGTGCTGGGATTACAGGCATGAGCCACTGGGCCGGGGCTCCACATTTTACAGAACTTCTATAGCTGTTGTATCACCGGGGTGCTTTTGTTGTTTAGTCACCATAAAATATGGCAAAGTTAATGATTTTGGTTTATTAAAAAGAAAATTAGTTTGAATGTCAAAGAAAAGGCATTATGATGCCTTTTTTTTTTTGGAGGGGGGCACCAATTTAATCAGGAAGGACCAATCATTTGCCTTTAGTTTTCAGAGTTCCCTTAACTTCAGTTATGTCTTAATGTATAATATTTTATATTTGGAAATGATAAAAATATACAAACTAGAAAATTTATTTGCAGCATTTAAATTATTAAATCCTGCAGAAAAAGATATTTTGACAAGTCTACATTTCAGTTAAAATGTTTTTTTTTTTTTTTGAGATGGTGTCTCACTCTGTCGCCCAGGCTGGAGTGCAGTGGCGTGATCTCGGCTCACTGCAACCTCCTCCTCCTGGTTTCAAGATATTCTCCTGCCTCAGCCTCCCGAGTAGCTGGGACTACAGGCACCCACCACCATGCCCGGCTAATTTTTGTATTTTTAGTAGAGACGGAGTTTCACCATATTGGCCAGGCTGATCTCGAACTCCTGACCTTGTGATCTGCCCGCCTCGGCCTCCCAAAGTGCTGGGATTACAGGCGTGAGCCACACCGTGCCCGGCCATTTCACTTAATTTTAATTGATATTTTTCCTATTTGGACAGAAGACCAATAAAGAAAATAGCTGAAGATATGTTTGAAACTAGGTTGCCTTCTTTTAAGATAGTTTATAATTTAAAACTAGCTTTTTTGTTTTATTTTTTATTTTGAAAGTATTATTTTTCAGCCTGTTATTTTATTATACTGTATAATTATAACTAGATGTGTAGTAATAGTGTAGTTTTATTCAGAGTACTTTCAAATAAAAACAAAAAGTAGTGTTTTTATCTTAGTATTTATATTTTCTTAGGATTAAGTTTTATTTTATAGGTTATAGTCAACATTGGAATAATGCTTTTTTTCTACCCTAAAACATTTGTGTTAATTTAAGTTAGTAAGATCTGTTATTTTATAAATGTTGGCAACAGATTTTTCTTTAAAAATTTGGAGAACAGTAGAACATTTAAGTTACTACATAAAATATTTCAAAGCTTAGGATTGTTAAATCTTTTAAATTTTTTCCTTCCTAATTTTATTCTATATAAAGAATGAGCTTTCAATCTAATGTAAAATGGCTTTCAACTTAGAAAAAAAGTGATTCGTTAGTAAACTGGTTAAGATTATTGATATTTTTAAAAATAACATTCACATATACATTTTCAAGGCTGTATATTGATGTGAAATAAAACACTCAGGTCAAAAACTGTTAAATAAAGACAAATTATTCAGATATTTGTATTTTGGTAGCATAATTATTGTGATTTTAAATCTTCTCCATGAGCGCCTGAGTAGGTTAAATTTCAGAGGCTCTGAACTTTTTTTGTTTTTACTTTTTAAATCTGTGTATCTTAATATCAGCTTAACTTTTTTGATTTTTAGAGGAATATTGAATTCTAATATCACTTTTTAAGCAGTTGTGATATTGTTGCTATTATTTGTGTATATCCAAGGGACCTTTTTTTTGGTTTTGTATATTGATTATTTTGAGTTAAAATTTTTTCCTCAGTAAGTGTATATTCCTAAAGTCTGAAATTATGTATGTGTTTTTGATATTATAATATGAATTTCTTGTGATGAAATACTGAATTCACTTTAAAATTTTTCTTGACCAAAGATAATCATTACACATTTTTTCTGTTCCCAAAACATATGAGTTCTTTTTTGTTCTTTCTTTATTCTTTCACTTTTGTTTATTTTTAATTTTAATTATATGTTCCAGGGTACATGTGCAGGATGTGCACTTTCGTTACATAGGTAAACATGTGCCATGGTGGTTTGCTGCCCCTATCAACCCATTACCTAGGTATTAAGCCCCAGCATGCATTAGCTATTTTTCCCAATGCCCTCCCTTCCCCCACCCCACCCCCCAACAGGACCCCATGTATTTGTTCCCCTCCCTGTGTCCATGTGTTCTCATTGGTCAGCTCCCACGTATAAGTGAGGACATGTAGTGTTTGTTTTTCTGTTCCTGCCTTAGTTTGCTGAGGATAATGGCTTCCAGCTCCATCCATGTCCCTACAAAGGACATGATGTCATTCCTTCTTTATGGCTGCATAGTATTCCATGGTGTATATGTACCACATTTTATTTATCCAGTCTATCATTGATGGGCATTTGGGTTGATTCCATGTCTTTGCTAATGTGAATAGTGCCGCAGTGAACATATGCATGCATGTATCTTTGTAATATAATGATTTATATTCCTTTGGGTATGTGCCCAGTAATGGGATTGCTGGGTCAGGTGGTATTTCTGGTTCTAGATCTTTAAGGAATCGCTGCACTCTCTTCCACAATGGTGGAACTAATTGACATTCCCAGGAACAGTGTAAAAGTGTTCCTATTTATCTGCAAACTCACCAGCATTTGTTGTTTCTTGACTTTTTAATAATCATCATTCTGACTGGTGTGAGACAGTATCTCATTGTGGTTTTGATTTGCATTTCTAATCATTAGTGATGTTGAGCTTTTTTTCATATGTTCGTTGGCTGCATGAATGCCTTTTTTTTTTTTTTTTTGAGACTGAGTCTCGCTGTGTCGCCCAGGCTGGAGTGCTGTGTCGCCCAGGCTGGAGTGCAGTGACGCGATCTCGGCTCACTGCAAGCTCTGCCTCTTGGGTTCACACCGTTCTCCTGCCTCAGCCTCCTGAGTAGCTGGGACTACAGGCACCTGCCACCTCGCCCGGCTAATTTTTTGTATTTTTAGTAGAGACAGGGTTTCACCATGTTAGCCAGGATGGTCTCAGTCTCCTGACCTTGTGATCCACCCGCCTTGGCCTCCCAAAGTGCTGGGATTACAGGCGTGAGCCACTGCGCCCACCTGTGAATGTCTTTTTTTGATTAAGTGTCTGTTCATGTCCTTTTTCCACTTTTTAATGGGGTTGTTTGTTTTTTTCTTGAATATTTAAGTTCCTTATAGATTCTGGCTGTTAGACCTTTGTCAGATAGATAAATTCCAAAAATTTTCTCCAATTCTGTAGGTTGCCTGTTCACTCTGATGATAGTTTCTTTATGTCAGTATCCCTCTGAACACTGATGCAAAAATTCTCAATAAAATACTGGCAAACTGAACACAGCAGCACATCAGAAGGCTTATCCACCATGATCAAATTGGCTTCAATCCTGGGAATCAAGGCTGGTTCAACATACACAAATCAATAAACATAATTCATCACATAACCAGATCTAAAGACAAAAACCACGTGATTATCCCAATAGATGCAGAAAAGGCCTTCAATAAAATTCAGCATCCCTTCATGTTATTAAAAACTCTCAATAAACTAGGTATTGAAGGAACATACCTCAAATTGATAAGAGCCATTTATGACAAGCCCACAGCCAATATACTGAATGGGCAAGAGCTAGAAGCATTCCCCTTGAAAACTGGCAGAAGACGAGGATGCCCTCTCTCATGACTCCTATTCAACATGACATTGGAAGTTCTAGCCAGGGCAATTAGAACAGAGAAAGAAATGAAAGGTATTCAAATAGGAAGAGAGGAAGTCAAATTGTCTTTTTTTGCAGATGACATGATCCTATATCTAGAAAAACCCATTGGCTCAGCCCAAAAGCTTCTTAAGCTGATAAGCAACTTCAGCAAAGTCTGAGGATACAAAATCAATGTGCAAAAGTCGCAAGCATTCCTATAAGGTAAGCAGAGAGCCAAATCATGAATGAACTCCAATTCACAATTGCTACAAAGAGAATAAAATACCTAGGAATACAGCTAACAAGGGAAGTGAAGGACCTCTTCAAAGAGAACTACAAACCACTGCTCAAGGAAATCAGAGAGGACACAAACAAATGGAAAAACAATCCATGCACATGGATAGGAAGAATCAATATCATGAAAATGGCCATACTGCCCAAAGTATGTAGCATTATAGATTAAATGCTATTTCCATTAAACTACCATTGACATTCTTCACAGATTTAGAATAAACTATTTTAAAATTCACATGGAATGAGAAAAGAGTTCTTATAGCCAAGACAATCCTAAGCAAAAAGAACAAAGCTGGAGGCATCACACTACCAGACTTCAAACTATACAAAAAGGCTACAGTAATCAAAACAGCATGGTACTGGTACAAAAATGGACACACAGACCAATGGAAAAAGAATAGAGAACTCAGAAATAAGACTGCGCATCTACAACCATCTGATCTTCGACAAACCTGACAAAAGCAATGAGGAAAAGATTCTTTAGTAAGTGGTACTGGGAGAACTGGCTAGCCATATGCAGAAAATTGAAACTGGACCCCTACCTTACACCTTATACAAAAATTAACTCAAGATGGATTAAAGACTTAAATGTAAAACCTAAAATTATAAAAACCCTAGTAGAAAATCTAGGCAATACCATTCAGGACATAGGCACGGGTAAAGATTTCATGATGAAATCACCAAAAGCAATTGCAACAGAAGCAAAAATTGACATATGGGCTCTAATTAAACTAAAGAGTTTTTGCACAGCAAAAGAAGGTATCCTTTCACCTTTAAAGGAACATTGGATTATTTTCATGCATCCCTTTTAAAAATTTATTTGGTCTGTAGTTTGTATAATAATTATCTCAATCTTTTTCAGAAATCTCCAATATTAAATTTAATTTTTTTCCTATATATAACTTTTAGAATGATTTTTTTCAGTATGGATTTTATAATGGAACTTAAGAATATGTAAGATTAGAATAGTGGTTCCCCTTTGGCTATATAATACATTAACAGTTCAGTGTGAAATCTAGGTAATATCTTCAATTTATTTTCTTTTCTCAATACTATTCATATTGTTTTTCCTTAGCACAGTGTTTATTTCTGTTTTTATGTCTTTACACATACTGATATCTTCTCCTTCCTACCAAATTATCCTCTTTTATAATCTTGTCACATTCTCTTCTAAGGTGCATTCATTCATCAAACATTTCAGAAGTGACCATATTAAATATTGGAGATACAAAAATGAGTAAGTGAAATTCCAGTTCTAAGATATTCCCAGTACAGTGGTGGAAACAAATAATCAGTTATATTAAGGTGTACTTTGATATGTAGCAAAGGTATATAATAGGTGTTCTGGATGGAGGACAGTGTGCCAAACTTCCTAGGATTGAGGAAACAGTTGAAAAGGAGTCTCAAAAATATGACCTGTGAGCCTGACTCTTGAAAGATAAGTGGTACAATTTTCTAGGGAACTTAGGCAAACACCTAAGAAAAGAAATTATAGAAGGTGTAGTACAGCCAAGCAAAGTTGACACATTACAAACACACTACTTTTGTTTGAAAATATTATTTCATCTGTATATTTGAATAATAGTTGCAATAGATACACAATTAGAAATGCAGAGTTATTTTCCCTCAGCATTGGAAAATGTGGTTCCATGCTGTTTTGACTTCCACTTTTGATCCTGAGAAGTCTCCTGTCTGCTTAGCAATAATTCATTTTCCTTATGAGTAGACTTTTCCTTCCTGGTCCTGTACATCTTCACGTTGTATTTGGTGTTTCACACCTAACACATTATTTATTAATGTTGTTAATTATGTTTATCCTGCTTGAGACTCTGAAATTCCTGAATCTAAAGATTGGTCTTTTTGTCCATTCTGGGATATTCTTAGCTGTTATATCTTTGTGGATTCTTGCCTATTATATTTTTCTTTGTACAGCTGTTTTGATACATGTGAATTATTATTATTATTATTATACTATGACTCAACATATTTTCCATATATTAGTCTCTCTGCATTGCATTCTGGGTAATCTCCTTACCCTGTCTCCCAAGTTAACTCTTCAGTAGTATTTAATTTGCAGTTTATTTTGAGTTACTAATTTTAATTATAGTTTTCCACTCTAGAAGTACTATTCCTTTTATTTTCATATTTGCTTGCTCATTTTTATTCTCTTCTGTTCTGTCCCAATTTCAGTGTCTTGTTTTATTTAACATATTAAGAATACTTAGTTTATACATGTATTTTATAATAGCGGTATATACACTCATTGTAGATACATATTTGCAGTTTAATAATTCTGTGAATTATTTTTTAGTTATTATACCTTATTTACCCATATGTTTTATGATTTTATTGTTAACTTGTGTTTCTTGATACTTTAACTGTGGAAATTCTTTAAGACCTGTGTTTAAAGTACTTCCTGCAATTGGAATTTGCAGGTTCTTTTGCCAAGTGCCTTGAGGGCACTTTCAGACCCAACCCCTGGCTTAGAGGTTTTTCTTGTGTTCAGGTAGTATAAATTCGAGCTGCCAATGCTTAAGGTTAGGAAAGCTTCAGAAAGTTTTTTTTTGTTTGTTTGTTTTTGTTTTTTTTTTAGTTTTACTTAAAGTCAAAATGCTGAAACATGTAAATAAGCCATTTTGTCTCGCAGTAGGTTGCTTTTTATTTCAGTCACTGGGATATCACTTTTGGAATCAGGAGTTATGCAAGAGTGTCTGATCAAACTTTTTACCCTGCTTGATTATCATTCAGTTTACTACTTTGCTTGTATTTACATTTGTACTTTTGAAACACAGGTTTAAGCGCTTTGGGTATCAGGAGCTGCATTCTAGCACTTGTTTACCTCTGTGGATTAGGCATTGATTTCTTAGATATGACTAAAATCACAAGTGACAAAACTGGACTTCTCAAAGTTCAAAAGTTTTGTTTCAAAGGACACCATCAAGAAAGTGAAAAGACTACCTACAGAATGGGGAAAATATTTGCAAACTATATAATAATTAACTAGTATCTACAATATATAGTGAACCTTTAGAACTCAACAGTTAAAAAGACAACCCATTTTAAAAATGGGGAAAGGTTTTGTATAGCAGCTTCTCTCAAGAAAATACACAGTAAACCCATGAAAAGGTGCTCACCATCACTAGCAACTACAGAAATGCAAAAACACAACTAAATAGCACTTGATATCCAGTGGATTGGCAAAAAAAAGTTATAGATAACAAGTACTGATGTGGATGCAGAGAAATTGGAACTTTCATACATTGCTAGTGGGATTGTAAAATCATGCATCTACTTTGGAACACAGTTTGATAGTTCCTCAAAATGTTAATTAAGATTGAGTTGATACATGACCCAGCAATTGCATTTCCTGGGTATACACTTAATTTAAAAAATATATCTACACAAAAAATTGTGCACAAAATTTTATGGTAGCATATTCAGAATAGCCAAAAATAGAATCAAATCAAATGTCCCTTAATGGAAGAGTTTATAAACAAAGTTGATATATTCATGCAATGGGATATTATTCAGCAAAAGAAACAAAAATCGGTTCAGGGAGTCTTCAAAAATTCATAGAAAATGCATATTATGAAAAATCTATGCATGGATTTCAAAAAAATTTTTTACACCAAAATAAACTAGTATTAACTTGATATTATATATCTGAACAGGATCTAGTTTGAGGCACTACAAAAGATAAGACATCAGTTTGAAAAGCAGAACAAGATGCATTCTGCTAAAATTGAAGCAAGAGTAAACATCAAATTTGTGATGACGCTTGGGTGGAAGAATGGCAAAATCATTGATCCTTTATGAAAAGTTTATGGGGACAATGCTTTATAGAAATCAGCAGTTTATAAATGGATAACTCTTTTTAAGAAGGAATGAGATGATGTTGAACATGAAAACTGCAGCAGCAGATCTCCACATCAATTTGCAAGGAAAAAGTTACTCTTGTTCATGACTTAATTGAAGAGGACCCATGATTAATGGCACAGATAGTAGCCACAGCTATAGACATTTCGACTGGTTCAACGTACACAATTCTGACTGAAAAATTAAAGTTGGGGTAACTTTCCACTTGATGGGTCCCAAACCCATTGCACACAAATCAGCTGAAGACAAAAGCTGAGCTTTCAATGGAAATTTTAAACAACTGGGCTCAAGATCCTGAAACAGTTATTCGAAGAATTGAAACATGGGTTTACAAGTATGACCCTGTGACAAAACACAATTAAAGCAATGGCTACCAAGAGTGGAAGTGGTCCGGTCAAGGCAAATCGGACCAATCAAGGGCAAAGGTCATGATAACAGATTTTTGGGATCTAAGGGAATTTTATTTTATTTTATTTTCTGGCAGGCCAAAGGATAATGACATCTGCTTACTTACTATGAGAATGTTTTGAGAATGTTAGCCGAAGCTTTAGCAGAAAAATGCCCAGGAGAGCTTTACCAGAGAGTCCTTCTCCACCCTAACAATGCTTCTGCTCATTCCTCTTGTCAAGCAAAAGCAATTCTGAAAGACTTTCAGTGTGCAGTCATTCATCCACCTTACTGTCGTGGTTTGTCTCCTTCTGACTTCTTGTTTTGTAATCTAAAAAAAATCTTTAATGGGCACCCATTTTTCTTCAGTTAATAAATGGATAACTGCATTTGATGCAGTAAAAATGACTGCATTGATGTGGTTAAATTCCAAGCACCCCCAGTTCTTTAGGGATGGACGAAATGTCTGGTATCATTGCTTGCAAAAGTACCTTGAACTGGATGGAGCTTACATCGAGAAGTGAAGTTACATATTTTTATTTGTCATTTTAATCCAATTTTCCCATAAACCTTTTGAAGTCCCTTTGTACATGCTATGCCATGAATGAATCTCTAAAACCTGATGCTAAGTAAAAGAAGCTAGTTACAAAAGGTCACATATTGAATGATTAGATTTAGATGAAATGTTCAAATTAGGCAAATTCTTAGAAAGCAGATTGATTAGTGGTTGCCAATGCCTGTGGGGAGATGAGGATGGGAAGTGACTATTAATGAGTGTGAGGTTTCTCTTTGGGGCAGTGAAAATATTCTCAAGTTAAATAATTTTGGTAGTTTATCAACTTTGTGAATATACTGAAAATCAATGAATTGTGTACTCTTAAAGGGTGAATTTTATGGCAGGTGAATGACAGTAAAGGGGTTATTAAAAATTACATGTATTATACTATGAATTCACCTAAGACTAAAGATGAAAAGAAGAATGTAATGAAAAATTATCTAATAGAGGGATTTTGAAATTAACTAAATGGAATAAGATCTAAAACCTCAAAGAAAACAAACAAACCAAAAGAACAGGCCTGGGAAGGGGAAAATAGCCATTCCTTTGACAGTATCCTCAGCCTTCTATTCATAATATTATTATTAGATGTGTAATAATGTTGATGTGTAACATATTTTTTACATTAACTGTTTAAGAATGTAACAAAGTGGAAAACACAAAAATACACATTTTGAGGGTTTATTTTAGATCGTACACCTGTGTAACCACCAACATAGTTCAGTAATAGAACAGTGCTAAGACTACAGGAGCTCTTTTTCTTTGCCTCAAATATTTATGCCCTCCTCTCCAAATGAACTGCTATTTTGACTTTTGTAGTAATTCCTTTCTTTAAAATTTTTTTTTATCACTGAATCTTACCAACAACAAAAAAATAATGTTGCCTTTTTTTGGGGTAATGCCTGTATATGGAATTTCTGATAGGCATATATATGTGGTCTTTTTTTCACAAATTTTTATATATGTGAAATACATCTATGTTTTTGTGTGTAGCTGTGATTCATTAATTTTCATTTCTGAATAACACTTCATTATAAAGTATTTCTACTTTTGATGACATTTATTTCCAATTTTCATCTATTGCAAATACATATAGGAACTACTGTTTACCATTTTATGACTATATATATGATTTCTGTTGGGTATTGCTGGGTCCCATTGCTAGAACTGCTGGGTCATTGACTGTACAAATTTTGTACCTTGTAGAGTGGATTTCCCAGAAAAAAAAAATTGAGGCAAGATCTTGGATGCAGTTACTTTATTTGGGAGCAGGAAGAAGGCAGCAGGGGAGCACAACACGGGAGGAGGAAAACTAACATGGGGTGCATTATTGAGGTCGTTGTTAGGTGCAATGGGAGCTCAATTTCTAAGGTGTCAGAATGAATACCAGAATTGCCCATCTGAAGGATGGGAGTTGGAGCAGGTTCTGTAGTGTTAGAGAAGGTCCTCAGACAGAAGATGGAAAGACACACTGCTCATGCTTGAGGTGAATTGCCATTACAGCACTAGAAAGTTTCTGGGCTTGTGGGATACCACTGTTATGACAGAAATTAGAGTTACACCGAAGTCATTTGTCAGGGAACTAGTGGCAATTGCTTCAGCCCATTCTTTAAGCTGCTCACATCTGCCTTGCCAATACATTAAGTCCGATCTGTCCTTTAACTCTTCAAGTAGATGACTAATTACAGTCTCCGGAAGGGTTAGTGGAACATAATAGACTCCCCTTGGTTGAAATTGTTTTCAAGTTTTTAATTTATATTCATCATCTCCTGTTTTCTCTACTATTTTCGGTTTCCTGTACCTTTGGCCAGCATTTTGGCTGCTCTGGACCCATTAGGTTGCTACACTTGCCTATTCACTATTGTCATCAGGCATGGAAGTACCAAAAGACATCAGTGAATCCTCTGAGTTCCAGGCATAGTTGTCTCTGGCTTCATATTTAGTAGCAAGTGTAGCTCCCCATGATACTTGAAATAATTCTCCTGTGCCAATATTATGACTAGTTTAGTTGTCTTCTGATTTATCAGCATGAGGTATGAAAGAGATTAGGCAGCAATCATAGTTTCAGGCTTGGAAAAATTGTATTATGTCCCTTGGTGGAATTATCATACCCTTTCCACCCAAGAAACAAGTTCCTATATTCTTGTAGACCCTGAGGTTGTAGGGATGGAAATAATATTTTGAGGATGAGTCACTAAAGAGAGGGTTAGAGGGGCTATTCCTACTTAATACCACTTGGTTTAGGCCCTGTGTGTTCCAGCCATTGGGTACAACACCCCATACGTTGGCCATTGTTTTAGTACTTTGACCCTAGAGTGTTTTTGCTTATCTGGAGGACGCACTGAACCTTTAATAGGTCATTCTACCATTGTGTTAGACTGTGGCAGTTAATGCAATATGTGGTGAGATGAGTAGTTGCCACAGTTGTGCACTTGTTATATCTCTTTTATTTTATTATTTTTTTAGACAGAGTTTCGCTCTTGTTGCCCAGGCTGGAGTGCAATGGTGCGATCTTGACTCACCACAACCTCCGCCTCCTGGATTCAGGTGATTCTCCTGTCTCAGCCTCCTGAGTAGCTGAGATTACAGGCATGCACCACCATGCCTAGCTAATTTTTGTATTTTTAGTAGAGACGAGGTTTCTCCATGTTGGTCAGGCTGGTCTCAAACTCCTGACCTCAGGTGATACACCCGCCTCAGCCTCACAAAGTGCTGGGATTATAGGCGTGAGCCACTGCGCCGGCCTGTTGTATCTCTTTAACATAAAATGGGTCTTTGTATCTGAGGTGATGATGCTATATGAGATCTTTTGTTAGTAACTAAGTTGTAAGTTCTTACATTGTGGGGCTGACAGACTTACTATAAGCCAAGGAAGTTAACCCACATTCAAAAGTAGGTACCAGTTCTGTTAAGGATAGTCATTACTGTCTCCAGCATAGAATGAATTCAGGGTGACATATTTATCACCAAGTTTCTGGTTATTCTTGTTGAGAGATGCTAACACAGTGAGGGTTCATCATGGCTCTCTTCTGCTGACAAAAGTATCTGCAATAGGGGTTGTTACCTATGACTTGGTGAGAAGCAGCCACATACTGCACTCATTGATAATGTCCATCTCTTCCACCATGTTGCTATTCATGGACCATTTGTACACAGACTAATATTATGAGATCTTTGGGGTGTCACTTTTCTGGCTGGAAACCTGTGGCCAGTGGCACCTTTGCCTGAGGTTTGCTCAGGCCCACTGGGCTTGTTTCCATCAGGCTTTGCTCAGCTCATGCTGCCGGCCTGGATCCCATGGCTCCAAGGGAGACTGGAGTCAGATGTGGAGTGGTGACGGATGTGTGAGCAAACATGGGGTCTGGCCACTGCACAGTCAGACACACCAGCCACTGCTGCAGGGCAGGCAACTCTAGGTGCCGGCATGGGTGCCAGCTCTCCGCAAGTCTGCAGCTGGACCAGGCATACTGCAAGCAGCTTCCCCGGCTGGCACTGGGGAATGCAGTGGTACCCAGAAACATGAAGACACGAGGAACCACAGGGCCACAAAGAGGGAGTCATAGCTCTGGCTTGGGAAGCTCCCAGGTCTGGGCTCCCCAAAGGGCCGCAGCTCTTCTCTTCTTTTTTTTTTTTTTTTTTGCCTGCAACATGGCAAAAAGGGGCATGTTTCAGCCCTGTTTGTATTACAGCAGCTCTTTCAGTCTTGCGACTCAGCAGGTCCTGAGTTCTTGTCCTGTGACCAGGAAGAATGAGGTACTCAGAGCAGCGGAGTGTAAGCAAGATGAAGAGGAGCTTTATTGATCAATAGAACATCTCAGGAAAGCCCTGCAGTGGGCAGCTCCTCTCTGTAGCCAGGGTGTCCCAATGAGTGTTCAGCTCCTAGCAGAGTGGGTAGCTCCTCTCTGTAGGCAGGTCATCCCAACAAGTGTTCAGTTCTCGGAAGAGAGAGGATAGCTGCTTTCTGCAGCTGGTTGTCCCAAGTGTTTAGCTATCAGCAGAGAGGGTAGCTCCTCTCTGTAGCTGGTTGTCCTATCATCTGCAGCTGTTGGCAGAGAGTAGGCCCCAGAGTGGGTGGCTCCTCTCTGCAGGCAGGTTGTTCCGTCGTTTGCAGCTCTCAGCAAGGAGGATAGCTACTCTGCAGCTGGTTGTCCCATTGGCTGTCCATCCTCTGCTCTGCTCTGGCTGAGCTCAGGGCTTTTATAGGACTCAGAGGGGAGGAAGTGCGTGCTTATTGGTTCATGGGCAGCCATGGGTGGGCCCAGAAAAGGCACCACAAATCCCTACTCCAGTCCATGGGACTGGCAGCTTGGCCCCCAGCCTTCAGGCCCTCCCTGGCCTGAAGATGGGGCCTTATCAGGGACCTCCTTCCTTCTGCCCAGGAGCCCATCTGCCTACTGCCACTATCCATGGCACTGAGGCTGCTTGTGCCAAGGGGCACCTGCAGGCCAGCGTTGAGCCACCCTCAGCCCCTCCCTCAGCTTTCCCCCTGTGCTTGTTGGCGCCCAAGGTCCAGAGGGGGCCGAGGTGGTAGGAGGCTGGCATGTCAGTGCTTCCCTGAGCATGCCCACACCTGGCCAGGGTATGATAGCATGGGGGCTCAGCTCCAACTTTGCTCTGACATTGCAGTGGGCAGCTGCAGCTGCACCTGGAAGGGTGGGGCTGCTACTTACTTCTTGCTCCCACTGGCTCTGTGGAGTACGCAGCCCCAGCTTCACCCCCTCACAGCCTGGGGTAGAGGTTCCAAGTCCTCGCTGGGCCAGGCCGGTGTCCAGGGCAGGGGCAGCATCTCCACGAGGTCCCCCCATGGCCTCAGTGCTCAAGGGTTCCCAGAGCTCCTCCTGTAAAGGCTCACGGCCCTGCCCAGGGGGGCACCTCTCTATTAGTCTGTTCTCATGCTGCCAATAAGGCATACATACCCAAGAATGGGTAATTTATAAAGGAAAGAGGTTTAATTGACTCAGAGTTTCACATGGCTAGGGACGCCTCACAATCATGGCGGAAGGCGAATGAGGAGCAAAGTCACATCTTACATGGTGGCAGGCAAGAGTGTGTGCAGGGGAACTCCCCTTTATAAAACCATCAGATCTCATGAGACTTAATTCACTATCATGAGAACAGCATGGGAAATACCTGACCCCATGATTCAATTACCTCCCACCAGGTCCCCCCAGTGAAATTGTGGGAATTATGGGAACTGAAATTCAAGATGAGATTTGAGTGGGGATGCAGCCAAACCATATTAGCCTCCTCTAATGGATTGCGGCCTGCCTTGCTGTTTGGAGTGTCAGGCCCAGCAATCACCCAGATGTGGGGTGGACCCCTGGGACATGGCCCCGGGTGGTCCTGGGCAGAGCCTCCCCTGAGGCACAGGAGCCTCACAGGGTGGCTGCGGTGACTGCACCGCTGACTGGGTCCCTGAGGTAGGCACTGCTCCCACTTCCCGTCCTGGGCCCACGAAACAAGGCCCCAGCCCCACCTCCTGCCTGAACCCTCCCCATAGCAGTGGTGGCCAGTGTCCAGAGCATGGGGGCTCTGGACCTGGGGGTGGGTCCTACCTGGCTGCACTAGGGTGGGGGCAGTGCATTTGGCTGCCTTGGGGACGTGGGGCACAGTGGACCCACCACCGCCATTGCTGTTCCCACAGGCACTTCTGCCGCCACCACCACCTCCCGCACCTCCCTGCTGCAGACAGCCCACCACTGCCATCACTGACATGGCTGAGAACAGAGGCTCTATAACACCCACCCAATGGGTGGTCTCGTCACCTGGTTGTCACCTGGTTTTTGAGTATCTTTTCTGTGGTGGATACCTTATGATGAGCATTAGTATGAATCAAAAAAAGATTTACATACTCTGTGGCCATTACCACTGGTCCATTCAAATGCCTCTTCTCCAGATTTTCTTGTCTCTAATCTTGCAGACTTGTTCCTCCTGAGCCCTGACCAACCACTTTAGCCAGTTGCCACTGTCTGTCTGGCAGTCTGAAACCTACCTCAGGTTTCTTTTATTTCCATTCAAAAAGGATGTGGGTTCTGCCCGTAGGAAAAGTTTCTTCTCATTGTTTTTCATGAATGCTTCTGAATTGAGCTATAGTTTAGCAGTAGTTCATATTGGCTGGAGATGACGTTGATTTGACCAATTTATGGAACAGGCTTCCCCTTCCCCTCCCCGCCCTTAAATTGTCTGTCAGGTGATCCTAGGAAATCCTTCCAGGAAGACAAAAGAGAAGTGTGTGATTTTTGAGTGTCTGAATGTCATATCAATTTTAGATTCCTGGGTTAAATCCCACTTAGATGTGCTATATAATCTTGTTAATATCTTGCTGAATTTGGTGCTAATATTTTGTTAAGGAATTTTGCATCTGTATTTATAAGTAATACCGGTATATAGATTTATGGTTTTTAAATCATGTCTTTGTCTGGATTTCGTATCAGGATGCCAATGGGTTGGGAAATGACTGAAAACATTTTTGTAGGGTTGGTATTATTTCTTTCTTCAAAATTTAATCGTATTTACCAGTAAAGTAATCTGAACATGGACTTTTCTTTGTGGGAAAATTGTTAATTACTAATTTAAATTTTATCAAGTTATGTAACTATCACTATAAATAAGTTTCAATACATTTTTATCACTGCATTGTCATTCCTGTGTCACATTACTGTTAATCCCTATGTACTGTCTTGCCTCTACCCTCTGCTACAGGAAAATGCTAATATCTGTCTTTAAAGCTTGCTCTTTTCTGAATATTTTATGTAAGTGGAATCACACAGTATATGGTCTCTTCTGTCTGACTCCTTTCACTAAACAAAATTTTTTTGAGATTCATCCATCTCATAGCATCTGTCAATAGTTCATTCCTTTTTATTGCTGAATAATATTCCATTCAGTAAACATATCACATTTCAGTCATTTCTAAGTTTTGGTTTGTGATTATGATTATGATTATTGCTGCTAGAAACATATGTATGCAAGCCATTAGTAGATACTGTTGGTACAGTAAGAATGAAGAGACTTGGTAGTGAGTAAAGTAAGAGTTTCAGTGAAAAAGTTTGTGATGCATTTTTTTTTCTGCCTAGAAGCAAGCTTCCTTGTTTATTTACTTGGTTTTGGGATACTAAGTCATGTGACTGTATCTGAGTTTCTAGATAGTGGATGTGTCACTGTATATTACTTTGCACTGGTTTATTTATAACATTCTGCTTAATTTGCATTTTGTTCTCTCCTACTTGGTTAAAAACTCAATAAATGTAATGATTCTTTCAGTTTGCCTCCATATTTTATACATAATACATGAGATAAATATATATTGATTAATTGAATTTAAAATTTTATCATCTCTTCAAAGGGCGTATTTCATGAGCTTTTAAAAATAATGTGAAAACACTACGGATATCTTAGTAAATAGGGACTATAGGTTCCCTATTTACTAAGGGATTAATTAACCAATATTCCCTTTATTAATAAGGCTTATAGTCTGACTTTTAAGGAACTGTATTTCTCTTTTGGTAATCTGTACTTCTAATTTGAATTTGAATATTGTACAAGTCAAATATACTAAGAGGTAAAGATTGCAGATAAAAGAGCAAATTTTCCCAGCAGTTAAGAAAATGTTTCTATATTTTTTTGGGGTGGTTTTACTGACATCTAGTGGCATTCAGTCCTATATATTTAAGCTTGCTTTATTTCTACTTGTCTTTCCATGACTATTTTATGTTTTAAAACTTAAGGAAAAAGCCAGTTCAGGTGTCTAACGTGAGGATAGCATTTTTTTGAGGATTCATGATATTATGCATATACCTTGTATATTATTTGACATAAATGGATAAATATGACTATGTCATTCATTCCTAAGTGCAGTTTTTTCCTGTACTTTTTCATTTCCTTTATTTGCTTGGATTTCCTTTCCTCCTCCTTTCCTCATTGATATAATCCCTCCCTTGCCCTGAGGTAGGTCATTATAACACTAGAGATTTTCTCCATGTGCATGTAAATCAATGACTGAGTGATTATACGTCTATAAATACATATATACAAGTTACAAATTTGTGTTATTTGTTCTAGAAAAATAAGATCATACATAATTCTTTGCATTTTGCTTTTCTTAGCTTACCTCTTGAAAATCTTTTTAAGATAGGTAATGTAGTTCTATTTGTTCTTTTAAATGTATGCATACTATTTAAAATTGTGGATGTATTTTAATTTTGTTTTCAGTAACTTTTCTATTGGTGACTACTCATCATTAATTTTTTTTTTTTTTGCCACATTGAGGATACTTACATTACACATCCATGCCTATATATCCTTACATAGAGTAACTTTGACTCTTTGAGATAGCTTTTTATCAGTGAGATTGCTGGGTGAAAGAATGTGTTTAATTTTAATAGATGTTATCATATTGCTTTCAAAAACAGCTGAAATATCTTTGAGCAATGTATGAGAATACCTTCCCCACATCACCATTACTAAAATAGAATTTTTGGTATCTTAATTATAAAATAGTGTCACAAATAAAAGAAATATTTTAATATATTCTTTAGATTTATTTCATTTTTTCTTATAGCATGTGTTAAAATTTCCAAGAAAATGATTAATAGTATTGATTGTGAATACTACTCTAGTTACTGATTTAAATTGAAGTGGATTTAGTTTTAGAATATAGGATATTTGCTCTTGGTTTTTAATACATGTTTTTAAAGTTTATATTTAACTAGTTTCCTTCTAATTTTATTCTACTTAGAGTTTTTGTTATGAAGAGCTGCTGAATAGTATTAAATACCTTTTAAGTACTTACTAATATGATCATGCTATTTCTACCTTTCATTTGTTGATATAATCAATTATGTTGATAGATTTCCTAAATCTGAATTATTCTTACATTTCTGGAGTAAATTCTGCTCAGTTTAGATAAAACTCAGCTGTGATCTCATATGGTCCAGTCTTTTAGTAAATTGTTAAATAAAACATACATAAAAGAGAGTGTTTTTCAACATTTATATCCTTTACATAACTAGTATATATTTGATTTTACTGCTCACATTTGTATGGCTGAACAATACATTTTTAAATTTTATCTTGTTAAACTTATAAAATAGAATCCTATTTAGTTCTTCTGGCTTATTCGGTCATTAGTATGTTTTTGAGGTTCATCCACTTTGATGCATGTAGTTATGTCTCATTAATTTTCATTGCTGTATAATACCTTGCTATATGAATATACCACAATTTAGCCATTGAGCTTGATGGGCGTTTGTGTTGTTTCTGATTTTGGTGTTCTACAAATAATGGCATCATAAAATATTTTTAAAATATGCCTTTAGTACAAATGTACAAGAATGTGTCTAAGATGTATTCAAGAACTCAAGCTAAAGTTTATCTTGAGTTCAGATGGATAGGGTTTGTCCATGTTCAATTTTGTGAGTTACTGCAAGACTACTTTACACGTTTTTGAAATTATAATCACACCAGCAGTTTATGAAAATTGCCGTTTCTCCATATTCTCACTATCATTTAATAATTTTTGAAATTTAAATGTTTACTACTTTGGATGCGAAATGAATCACATAGTTTAAAAACTTTATTTTGAAATAATTTTAAAATTATAGAAGTATCGCAAGAATAAAATGATTCCTCTTATTTACCCAGATTCATTGGTTCACCATATTTGCCTTATTTTTTGAATTTGTACGTGAATGTATGCATGTGTGTGTATTACTGTATGTATATATGTAAAATACATATATATACACACACACACATTTATACATGCACATATATATATATATATATATATATATATATATGCACACACATTTTTTTCCTTATCCATTTGAGAGTAAGTACCTACACTATCTCACAACACTTCAGCATGTATGTCCTGTAAATAATGCTTTCTGCATAATGATGCTACATCAATTGAAATAAAGAAATCAACATTGATAACACTCCTACCATCCAATACCTAGAGCTCATTCACATTTGCATTTGACATGGTGGCTATAGGATCAGGTTTCCTCTACTCACTGTGGTGACTATGTTTCCATTGTAGTTTTTAT
Organism: Homo sapiens; assembly: GCF_000001405.40. NCBI lineage: Eukaryota > Metazoa > Chordata > Mammalia > Primates > Hominidae > Homo > Homo sapiens. The sequence continues at coordinate 21,167,978 of NC_000002.12, forward strand.
AAACATTTCTTAGATTACAGATTAGAAGAAACTTTGACTTATTGGGAATTTAGATGCTGCTTTTGAAAATTTTCTATTCCTTTCTTTTGTCCTCTCCCTTCCTATTTGGATTCTTGTCTTTTTTTTTTTTTCTATTGATTCTGGATATTTGCAAATATCCTCTAGATTCATTGGTTTTCTTGAATCTGTGTATTGGTATCATTCATAAGTCTGGAACATTCTTACCACAATATCTTTCAATATTCCTCTGCCCCATTCACTTTTGAAAACTTCATTTAGATGTAAATTAGATGTTCTCATTCTCACTTCTTTAAAACTGTATTCTATATATTTTTTAAATTCTTTGTTTCCTGTGTTCTGTTCTGAATAATTTCTATCAGTCTGTCTTCCTGCTCAGCAATTATTTCTTCAGACTTTAAAACCAAGCTATTTAGTTTTTGCCTACAATCTAAAAAATATTTGACTATTTTATGACCACAAAAGTAATCTAGAGTTTTTTTTTTTTCAAAAAAGCTTTATGGTATTACCTTTTACATTTAGATTTAAAATAGATTTTTTAGTATGCTGTGAGGTAGGGGTAAAGATTCATATTTATGTATATGGATAGTCAGTTGTTCAGTACAACTTATTGAAAAGTTTTTCCCTATTGCATGATAGTAAAATGCAATCAACTGACTGCATGTGTGTTGGTGTGTTACCAGATTCTTTTCCATTGATAAGTTTATCTTTTTTTTTTTTTGCAAATACCAAATTGAATTAACACTCTAGCTTTACAATAGATCTTGAAATAACACTTCAATATACATGTAAGAACATGTTCCAGGGATGGATCTTTATGATAATTTAAAAATATATAGCAATAATGAAATTACTCAGAAAGAGAATGCATATATTTAATTTGACTCAGAAGTGTTATATTGCTTTCCAGAATGACTTTACCAATCTATACTCCTCCCAGCAGTGATCATCCTGTATATGTTCACATTTCCACCAACATTTGGCATTGCTCAGCATTCATTTTATTAGTATTAAAGGTATAACCGTGATATAATATTTTAATATTTATTTCTCTTATTAGCATATTTGAGCATACTTTTTATGCTTGTTAGCCTATACTTATCCTTTTCCCATTTTCCTGTTGGTTTTTTAAATCCTTGTTGTGCAGGAATTCCTTATATATTCTAGATTGGAACTCTCTAATAGACATTTCTGTGATGATGAAAACATTTTATTCTGATATGTCTAGTACAGAACCACTAGCCTCACGTAGCTATTGAGCATAATAGCTACTGAAATGGAGAAATTACTTTTTATTATTTTTCAGCATTTTTAGAATTTATTTTTATTTCTGAGATTTTGATGCACCCATCACCAAAGCAGTGTACACTGTACCCAATGTGTAGTCTTTTATTCTTTATCCCCCTCCCACCCTTTCCCCCCAGTCCCCAAAGTCCCATGTATCATTCTTATGACTTTGTATCCTCATAGCTTAGCTCCCACTTATAAGTAAGAACATAGAATGTGTGGTTTTTCATTCCTGAATTACTTCACTTAGAATAATAGTCTCCAATTCCATTTAGGTTGCTGCAAATGCCATTATTTCATTCCTTTTTATGGCTGAGTAGTATTCCATGGGTACATATGTACTGTATTTTCTTTATCCACTAGTTGGTTGATGGGCATTTGGGCTGGTTCCATGTTTTTGCAATTGCAAATTGTGCTGCTATAAACATGCGTGTGCAAGTATCTTTTTTGTGGTTTTGATTTGCATTTATCTGATAATTAGTGATGTTTAGCATCTTTCCATATGCTTGTTGACCATCTGTATATCTTCTTTTGAGAATTGTCTATTCATGTCTTTAGCCCACTTTTTGATGGGATTATTTGTTCTTTTCTTGCTGATTTGTTTGAGTTCTTTGTAGATCTGGATATTAGTCCTTTGTCAGATGTATAGATTGTGAAGATTTTCTCCTACTCTGTGGATTGTCTGTTAGCTCTGCTGATTATTTCTTTTGTTGTGCAAAAGCTTTTTAGTTTAAGTCCCATCTATTTATCTTTGTTTTAGTTGTATTTGCTTTTGGATTCTTGATCATGAAGTCTTTACCTAAGCCAGTGTCAAGAAGGGATTTTCTGAGGTTATCTTCTAGAATTTTTATGGTTTCAGTTCTTAGATTTAAGTCTTTGATCCATCTTGAGTTGATCTTTGTATAAGGTGAGAGATGAGGATCCAGTTTCATTCTTCCAAATGTAGCTTGCCAGATATCCCAGCACCATTTGTTGAATAGCGTGTCATCTCCTTATCTTATGTTTTTGTTTGCTTTGTTGAAGATCAGTTGGCTGTTAAGTATTTGGCTTTATTTCTAGGTTCTCCATTTTGTTCCATTGGTCTATGCACCTATTTTTATACCAGTACCATGCTGTTTTGGTGACTATGGCATTGTAGTATAGTTTGAAGTTGGGTAATGTGATCCCCTGATTTGTTCTTCTTGCTTAGTCTTGCTTTGGCTATGCAGGTTCTTCTTTGTTTCTATATGAATTTTAGGATTGTTTTTTCTAGTTCTGTGAAGAATGATGGTGGTATTTTGATGGGAATTGCATTGAATTTGTAGATTGCTTTTGGCAGTATGGTCATTTTCACAATATTTATTCTACCAATGCATGAGCGTGGGATGTGTTTCCATTTGTTTGTGTTATCTATGAATAAATTACTTTTTAATTTTACTTAATTTAAATTTAAGTAGCCACATGTAGATATTGACTCATAAGTTATAGAATCAGCTCTAGATATTATTCCTCTATAATTCTGGGGCACTGCAAATATCTTCTTTTTATCAGTGGTGTTCAACATGGTACAGAAAGGGGAAAGGACCTGAATAGACATTTCTTGAAAGAAGACATACAAATAGTTGACAGGCATATAAAAAGGTGATTAGCATCACTAATCATCAGGGAAATCAAATCAAACCACAATAAAATATCATCTCATACCTGCTAGAATGTCTATGATCAAAAAGAAAAAAGGTAACAAGTATTGACAAGGATGTGGAGAAAGGGAGACCCTTGTACACTATTGTATAAATTGGTACACCCATTATAGAAAACTATGTAGAGATTCCTCAAAAAATTAAAAATAGAACTAGCTACATTCATCATTCACTTCTTGGTATATAAACAGAAGAAATGAAAATAGTATATTGAAAGGAGATTTGCACTCCCATGTTTATTTGCACAGTTGCCAAGATATGCAAACAACCTAAATGTCCATTGATAAATGAATAAAGAAAATGTGATATATATATACACACACATACACATGTACATATATACACATATGCAATGGAATTCTAGCCAAGCTTTTATAAAGAAGAAAATCTTACCATGGTGAACCTGGAGGACATCATGCTATGTAAAATAAGCCAGACACAGGCAGAAAAATATTGCATGATCTCCCTTTTATGTATGTCTTATTTCATCTTCTGTTGTTATAACAGTATTATAAATTGACTAATTTATAAAGAAAAGTTTATTTAGCTCATGATTTTGGAGACTGGGAAGTCCACGAGCATGACACAGGCATCTTGTGAGGCTCTCCTTGCTGTGTCATAACATGCCAGAGGGCATTGCATGGAGAGAGGGCAAGAGAATGTGCGTCAGCTCAGGTCTCCTTTTATCTTCTGTTAAAGCCACCGTTTCGTCATCAGGACCCCAGCCTGATAATCTTATCAAATTCTGATTACCTCCCAAAGGCCCCACCATCAATCAGTATATGAATTTGGGTATTAAGTTTCAAATGCATGAAATTTGGGGTCACTCAGAAGTCCATAGTCTCATTCGAGACTTCAGACACAACTCATTCTGAATCAAATTTTCCTCCAGTTGTGAGTCTGTGAAATCAAAATAAATTGTCTACATCCAAAATACAATGGTCAGACAGGCATAGGATAGACATTCACATTCTAAAAGGGAGCAACAGGAAAGAAGAAAGGGTAAATAGGTCCCAAGTAAGTCTTGTTGATCTAAAGGAAGAAACTAAGACAACAAATATAATTTTAAAGAGCTTATTTGAGCCAAGGTGAGGACAGCTGCCTGGGAAACACTTCCAATTTGCCTTGGGATGTACTTCATTCAGCCTTTGTTACAAACAGATTTTTAAAGGAAAAGAGGGGTACAAATAATGGCTTAATACAAGGTTGTTAGGAATTATCATTAGTTTGCAAAATGATATTGGTTAGTGATTAGCTATACATTGTTGAACTATATGGTATGAGTTATGGTGTCCAGCATGACTCTTGTCATCCACAAGGATGGCTAAAGAGTAGAAATGAGAGCTCTCTTGGTGATACCACTTTGCAGACTGGGAAGAGATGGTCCCTGGCATGTGCCGAAGGTGCTCTCTGAAGAGAGGAAGGATCGAATGGGTTTTATGCCTCATAGGGCCTGTATCACACAATAGTATCATAATGTTCATCAAGTTTTGGGGAAAAGCTATACATATTTATGAGGGGAGCTGAGCACATGTGCAATGAGTAAACATATATGTAACATACATCCCATGTTCACTTTGGGATGGATTTTAGCATTAAAATGAGATGGAATTTGGCTGTTCATGTTAAAGGTGAGCCATAGGACACAAAGGAAGTTTGGTTGAAACTGGCTTAAGGTCTGCAGTTATCAGAAAAGAATGTTTGTAGGGCTGGTCCTCTGTCCAATCAGAGTTGTAACAGTCTGGGCTCTAAATCAGAGTTAGGAGTAATCTGATAGCTCCTACAGTTATGGAGTTTCGAGCTGTAGAAATTTAGAAATTTGCCATGCCAGCTGGGTCCTGAACCCTCCATCCATAGGTAGCTTTGTCCTTAACCTTAGGGTCCATCTTCATTGATAAAGGGGCTATTTTTATCTCACATTCTTTGAAGCAGCCCCTACTCCACATTTCCATTTGGCATTGGCCTTGTAGCACTTTGCCCCTGCAACAAGTCTCTATCTGGGCCTCCAGGCTGTCTGTGACATCCTTTGAAATCTAGGTGGAGAAAGCCATGCCCCTACAGCTTTTGCATTCTGTGCATCTGCAGAATTACCACCATGTGGACAATGCCAAGGTTTATGGCTTGTTCTTTCTGGAGTGGCAGGTCAAGTTGCACCTGGGGCCACTTGCGCCACAGCTCAATGACTTAAAAACTGAATTTATAATGAAAAGAGAAGCAGAGTGGAAAGATTTGGAAAACTCTCAGCCTAGCCTTGTAAAGTGAAAAATCATGTTTGGGAGAAGAAACCAAGGACATGGTCCAGCTACCATTTGCTAAGGAACTTAGCACTGATAGAAGGAATCATCAAGACAATGGGAGAAAGGTCGGGAAGGCATATTAAAGATCTTCTAGGCTCCTCCTCCCATATTAGGCCCAGAGCTCCAGAACACAGAATGGTTTTACGGAATGGGATCATGGCCCCCTACAGGGTCTCTACCAGTTTCTGCTTCCTGTGCTTGATATAACACTCCTTGGTCACCCCAGCTGTGGTTTAGGTTTATTTAGCAAACATTCAATGATTTAGGTACTACCCCCACCCCACCCTAGATAGTTCTTAGAATGCAATATTATTTATTTGTTGATATATCTGATTATATATTTATTTCTTGAGGATAGAGATTATCTCATTCACCTTAATCATTAATAGTTAACAAGGGATCAGCACGTAACAAGGGCTCGGCAAATATTTGTTGGTTTAAACATATATCATGCAGCAGGAGCCATATTAGCCACATTATCTATATAATTCTTCTGTCAGCAAACTTTACCCAAGATAAGATCAATTTGACTTGATCTTATGGCCTAGAAAGAAATTATTATACAGTATGCTTATATTCTTATCATATGGAGCCTAACCTTTATCATGTATTAACTGGTAATCTTATTTTATCAGTACCTAAAAGTTTACATTATGAGAGCGATGGCAGCCAGCTAGGGCAACATGTGTTCAAATCTAGAAATGTTGGTCTGAAGATGTATAAAATTCCGTTTCTGGAGTATCTCTTTGCTTGACTGTTTTACATAATTGAAATGTTAATCATGTGATTTAATATTTAGAATAGTTTTCCTAAATATGAAATTAAATTATTAAATCTATTTTATTTTTGAAAAAATGACATTAAGCTTTGTTCTGTAACACATCTGTCTGATCATGTCACCACCTTTATCCTTCCGGCCTTCATCTCTTTACATACCTCCTGGGTATCTTCACCTATTCTCTTCTACCATCCTGCTTATTCTCACATACTGAGCAAATGTTTGTTTCTTGCTAAATTTTTAAAAGTTCATTTATCTTATCACTCTACTAGGGCTACAAGCTTCTGGGCAGTGACTGGACCTTTTCTTTCTCTTCCTTTTTTTTTTCTTGACAGGGTCTTCCTCTGTCATCCAGGCTGGAGTGCAGTGGCACGGGCAAAGCTCACTGTAATCTCAAACTTCTTCGCTCAAGGGATCCTCCCTCCTTAGTCTTCTCAGTAGCTAGGACTACAGGCATGTACCACTACACCCAACTGATTACTTTTTGGAGAGACAAGGTCTCCCTATGTTAGCCAGTGTATTTTCTTCGTATATTATGGTGCTTAGGATATATGGTCAGCATGTAGGAGGAGCTCTGATTACTCAATTAAAAAGTTTACCCACATGTTCTGAATTATTCTGCCTTCAATTTAAGATGTGTTTTACTCTTTCTCGTGGATTATATTGAAGAACACATCCATATTTTTCCATTTACCGATACGATGTGCCAACCAATTGTTTGAGGTGTATAGCTTCATTTCTTACATCTCCCCTGAAGTGTAGACCCGTATATTCTATTGTGTCCTTGACATTTTCACGAGGATGCCTAAAAGGCAATTTAAATGTATGTTTTAAATTTAATTCTTGTCTTCCTCCCCCATACCTGCTCTTTCCCCAGTGTTCTCCACCTTAGTGATTGGCTTCTGGTTCACCTGGTTGTCATGACAAAAACTTTAGCATTATTGTTCATTGCTGTTTTTCTGTCATATCCCACAGGCATTCCTATTGGCGTTCCCTTTAAAACACAGCCCTCTTAACCTTTACCCCCTCCACTCCACCATCAGTTTCTCACCTGGATTACTGCAACAGACTGCTCTTCGGCCTCTCTGCTACTCCCTTTGCCCACCCCCCAGCACACACCAAGTCTGTTCTTCACATAGTCGGAGCCAATGAAAACCCAAATGTGATCATGTCCGAAACTTCCAAGGGCTCTCCTCCACATTTAAATAAAATTCACAGAATCTGTACAGCCTGCAAATCCCTGCACATCTGGCCCTTCACTGTCTTTCTGACCTCATCTCCCACTATTCCCATTACTCACATTCTCTAGCCACACTGTTCCTGTACAGATCTTTAACCACGTTTCTGCCTCAGGTCCTTTGTACACGCCATTGCTGCCCCAACATACTTTTTCTCAGGAATATATACATCTCTCACTTAAGTCTATTGTTTAAACATTGTCTTATTATAGAGGTGAATCCTGACCATTCTTCACAAAGTAACATATTCTCATCTCCGTAACTGTTTCCTTACTCTATTTTACTTCATAACCTTAATGCCAAACTCACATTATAATGCAGATATATTTTTATCTTCCTCCACAAGAATGTAAGTTTTTTAAAGGAAGAAATTTGCTTGTCTTTTTCACTGTAATCCCTGTACTTAGGGAAATTGCTGACATATAATATGTCCTTTTAAAATGCAATTTTTGAGTGTGACCGAATTTCTCTCTGTGCTCAATTTAGAGTACATCTGCTTTCTTATTTGTTGTTCTGCATGAGATTGGGCTCCATTTTTAAGATTGCTGGACTGTATTTTCTAAGGATGTCTTTAATTTGTGCATTATTAAACTTATAACCTTCTGAATTATTAATTTGATTGTGCATTCCTTTTAGGATAATTCATCATATATTTCATCTTTGATAAGTCATTCTTAGGAAGATGGAGTGAAAAATAAAGATATCTTTTAGAATTTAAAAGTAGAAATTTTGGCCACCAGATGGAGACCCAGTACTGACTTTTTGTGATAGGTTGACTATCCGAGAGAAGTAACCTTAAGAATACATGCTTAAACTGAAATGCATTTTTTTTACTCCTCATTTGTATATTTCTAGCAACTTTACTCATTAGAGATATTATTACCTATATCAAGGAAGGTGTGGAGTGGTTAGCAAGTTGTACTAGAGAAGAATCATAGAATATAAAGCAACCAGAGGCGAATGTATTTGAAGATCAGGGTTCTTAGCTGATTCTCTGGTAAAGTAAGGTCAGAAGAGAACAGGCTGTTGAAGAAAGTGAAAATGTGCGGGTAATGCTGAGTGATGGAATGTTAGAGCCAAGGGAAATGTGTTAGAGGGGAAAAGGGCCAGACAGGAAAGAGTTCAGAAGGGAAAAATAACTTGTGATAAAATAGGTGTAACTACAGCGTGCCTTCCTGACACAGCAGAGTAGAGAGACAATAAGAGTCATAAAGTAGATTTCAGAACGTCTTTGGTGGCAAGGATCTTCTAACTGGCCAGGCAGGTTGGATCTGCTTGTTCATTCCCAAATGAATGGGGACATTGGCTGACTTTATCACTCTATCTCTTTTATTTTTGGAATCATTTTTCCACAGTGCCATGTAATGTGGAGACTACATGTACCACATGAGGTACCTAAATATAACAATAAATACATTTCCTCTGGAGTTCTTAGCAAATAGGATTTCTTCATACTTGAAAGAAGAAACACCCCAGAAGGGAGAATTAAATAATTTTTCAATTTTTACTCACTGAGTTTTATTTACCTTACTTTCAGCAGTGGCCACACAAAAAAATCTCTTTATGCCAATGCCAGGAGGAGAAAAATAGTTCATAGCTTACATGCTATTTGACCTAAACATTAGAAGAGAAATTTGCCTTTTGTTTCATCGTCACCTTACGAAGAGGTTGATGATCTCTGCTCTGTTTTTCTTTCACCCCACAAACAGCAATAACCTTTTAATTGCTCTCTCTGCCTCTGCTCTCTTTTCTGTCCAATTTTGGCCCTCTGCAATCCTATGAAGCTAATTTACCTAAAACAAAAATGACCCAGCTGTATTTTTTTTTCCAACTAAAATCTGTCAGAGACTGCATTGAGTGCAGGGTAGAATCCAAACTCGTTAGCATAGCGAATTCTCCTGACCCTGACCCTACCTAGATTCTAGACTTGATGTTCAGCTCAGGTGTAACTTTTGAAGCCTTCCTTAACTCTTCTAGCAAAAGTGATAGAGCCACCTCTTTCGTGTTGTCATGGTTTTGTTTGCACTGTTACAGTAATCCCTTCTTATGTGTAGTTTTGCTTTCCACTGTTTCGGTTACCTGCAGTCAGCTGCAGTCCAAAAACAGGGGAGTCTAGTACAATAAGGTATTCTGAGAGAGTGAGAGAGACCACATTTACGTAACTTTTATTACAGTATATTGTTATAATTATTGTTGTTAATCTCTTACCATGCCTAATTTACAAGTTAAACTTTATCATCGGTATGTATGTGTAGGAAAAAAAAACATAGTACAGGGTCCCACATCCACAACCCAAATCGATGGGTTCAGTCAACTGCAGATAGAAAATGTGACAACAAAAATAACAAAAATATTTTATTGAAATATTTTTTATTTCAATAAAAATAACAAGACAACAATAAAAAATGATACACATAAAACAATATGGCCTCTTGGGCAATGTAAATATAAATTTACATAGCATTTACATTGTATCGGGTCTTATAAGTAAGTTAGAGACAATTTCAAGTATACGGGAGGATATGCATAGGCTATATGCAAATACTACACCATTTTATATCCAGGACTTGAGCATTTGCAGATTTTGGTATTCATGGGGGTGCTAGAGCCAATCCCCCAGATGTACTGAGGGATGACTGTATATTTCTGTTTTGGTATGACCCATGGTTTTATGGAATCCACTGAAGGTCTTGGAACTATCCCCTGAAGATAAGGGGGACTACGGTATTAAATCACTTTTCACCTTATGTTGTATTTAATTTTATTGATTTTGATCTTACATAGGTTTTGAGTTCCTTGAGATCGGGGATCCTATTTCCCAAGGTCTTCAGTGAAAGAATTATTTACTGAGAATTATTGTTACCGAGAGAGCAATTAGCAAATTTTTTTGATGAACCTTTCAATTTTGTTTCTGTAACCTTCCAGTTTTGGTTTTGTAAAAAACTATAGTATCATTTATTTTCTGTCATTGTTTTCTACAGACTTTAGATAACCAATCTGATTTAAAAATTGTTTGCATTTTAATGTTCAAAACCAAAATAGCCTCTTGGGCAAATAGAAAAACAAAGAGGGTATTGTTATTTTAACCTCTTATAATGTAACTCATTCATTGCCTTTATAGTACATCATGAATACAATTTAATAGAATCATTTTCTCTTTTAATAGTTACATACAAATTGAACACCAATAAGGTTAATCAGTAACCATGTAGTATTAATCAACATGAAGAATCAGTTTCAATCTACATACTCCCTCTCAAAACTGCTTACATCAAATGCACCGAAACAACAGTATAGAAATTGACTGAAGTACAGGATAGTGAGTACTAGTAATCCCAATATTGAGGAATACTTTAGGATTCATTTATTTATTTATTTGGCAAACATTTATTCAGCATCTACTATTTGTCAGGCACTGTCCCTGACCTGGAGAATATCTGTAAATAAAAGAGTCAGCTCTCAACTCTCATGGAATTTAACATCTCATTTTGGAGACAGACAGTGAGAAGTAAACAATAAATGAGCAATATGATTTTGGATAATGGTAATTGCTGTTAGGAAAATCAAGCAGAGGAATAATGTATAGAATTGATGAAATGTGAAGAAGCAGTTTTACTTTTTTTTCTCATCTAAAAGATTATGTGAGCAATGATGGTAGTTTAGATTACAGTAGTAGTGGTAAATATGGTAAAAAGTATATGTATATGGGATATATTTTGGAGATGGAGGTATCAAGACTCTGATAGATTGGATGTGAAAGATAAAGAGATTTTTAAAAGGATGATTTAAAGTTTTTTTTTCTTTTGCTTGAAAAAAATCTTTCAGATTTTAGTAAAACAAATTGGATTTTGAAATTCTTGCACTTTTATGCTTAAAACTAAAAGGATATGGGGATGGTTTACTGGACTGGGAGGATGTTCAATAGACATACAGGGTAAAAAGGAGTGGGAGACCCAAAGTATTCATCAGTCCTAAATACTCTTGCTTACTCTTTCAGATCACTTTCTCCCTCTTATCTAAGAAATTCTATACTTTGTGGCATTATCAAATAATTCGATAAATCTTAATATCATCACCCCAACAACCATTGCCATGTAAACCTGGAAATAAACTAAAATGTCTAGTGAGAGGGTGTATTTGTCAGAGTGTGCTAGATATTTTCTGTTTTTCCCTCCAAATTTACTATCCACTCTTTTTCAGCCTTTTCTGTTTCCCAGAGGCTGACTTTATGGATTACATCAATGGGATATCTTATCCTCTGGATTTTGTTTAGGTTTGGCCAATGGGATACATAGACAGGAGATCTATGTGTGGGAAAATAATGAGATTGGCATGTTTATTTGCCTTCCTTCCTCACTACCAACTTACCATGGGCTTGCTGTGTTCCTTTTCTGAGGACCACAGCTCTGACCTGGTGATCCTCTCCTACAGCTACTCTCACTGGGTTTTAGTATCCACTTTGTCCCCTTCCTCCTTAAGGCTTAGGGGATTTCTTGTTGCTAGTCCCTAGGGTACTGCACCATCCCTTGTTGATTCCCTTTAACCCCTTCTATAGACCTTTATTAAAGTGTCTTCAAAGACCCCTAACTATACCATTTGTTTCCTTCTAGGACTTTATTTTTTCATTTGACAGCCACAGAAGCTGACTTTGGCTGAATTAAGCAATGAAGAAATTAACTGCAAAGGTTATTAGGTATCTGATAGAATTATCTGAAATCATGTTGCATAACTTGCCCAATGAGAAAACTGTCACTGTTGCTACTATCCCTATGTAACCCTAGATGCAATTGTTGCTAGTCATTGTTCCCTACCAATACCATTTCTGATTCAGAAATGGAACCTTAAAATCAATAAGAAATGGCTGTTCCTGCCACTAGTGCCAAAAAAAAAAAAAAAAAAAAGGAAGCTTCAGGCAGAACTGGTTTTCTCACATTGCTCTTTTCTGGTTTTCTCACATTGCTCTTTTCTGGTTGGCCAAAAATACGGTATGTCCCTTCTGGTTCTTTGGCTACCCCATATCAATAAACACTCATATTCCATACTCAAACCTTTAAAATATGTAAAATGCTATTTGTTGATGCAATACAACTATCATTTAAAATGAAAATGAATACATGATCACAATATCCTCAAAAGAGACAACCCAAAGTATCCTAAATTAATTCATTTGACTGTAAGTCTGGCCTCTCTGAGTGATATCCATTTCTTTTCTGGTTTTATTGTAATCCTGTTTTGACATTCTATAACTTGTGGACTAAAATGTGAAATTAGCCACTATCAAAACATCCCAGACAAAAATAGTAGTGGAACTGGAGTGGGCAAAGAAATTAGGTATAATTTATAAATACATTTACAAAAAGCAAGGAAGAAAATATGGGGACATGATACAGCTCTTGCTTCTTCAACTAGTTACAAGTCCATAGTTACTATGTTTTCATTCTCTTTCTTATCATGCATTTGTTTCATGGCTTCTTTCCTTTCATCCAGCACCTTAGCTGGTCTTATCTCTTTACATGATAGGGGATGCAAACCTTTGTTTCTGGGGGATTTGAGCCTTTGTAGTCTTGCCTGGATGGCATCATCCTACTCTTCTGTAGCCCCAGGTAGGGTAGTGCCAGGAGGCCCTCCAGGGGATCTTGAGTTATATTCATTCTCTTCCCTGTCCCAGTTGTGAAAAAGCATTCCTATTTTTCATTGAAAATTAGGAGCAATCACTCCAGCCAACAACATTACAACCCTTCCCTGCATTTTCTAAAGAATTTATTCATCCAGTGGTATTAGGAGTCATAAATAGCCAGGTAGCAGGCTGTTTTGTTTTGAGTTTTTATTTGGACTGACTCTTGCACCCCTGAATGAAAGCATTCTCTTGGGTAATGAGAACATCTAAAATAGAAGAGCCCAGAATAGTAATGAGACACAAACATTTTGCAATTAAGTCATTAGTTGTAAAAGTTAGATGTGATTTCCACCATTTGGTTCCTGGAACTGTTTATTCTGGCTATGGAAAATATGGGACATACATGGATCGCTGGTTCAGAGTATATTCTTCATCTATTAGGACTGCATCACAAGGTATTTAAGTTATTGTCTTTTGGAGACTATGAGAAGTGCATCTTCAACTAATTCACCATTTTTAATGGAGAGTTGCATTTGGGTAATGAGGTACCTGTTAAGACCAATGAATTCCATAAACAGTAAAAATTATTCTTCCTTATTTTACTTTCAAATTAGTTGTTTGTTAAAAGCAACGTATGTGATATTGTGACACTCAATGACACATTCAGTAAGTACTCAGATGATAGTTTATGGCAGAAGAGTGGCTAAAAGGGAAAGTAAATCCAAATCCAGAGAAAATGTCTGTTTTGTAAGGACAAATTACTGGCCTTCCGTGATGGGAAAATTCAATGAAATTAACTGCTACTGGGTAGCTGATTGGCCCTTTGGGATTGGTATCCTCTTGGAAGTTCACTGTCAGTTTCTATTGCTTGAAAGTTTGTTTCTCTGCAATGAGATAATCCCAGGTGAGCTGAAATATGTATTGACGAAACATTGCAAACCTCCACCCTTGCCACCGTGGCCATTTTGTTAATAAATTTATTAAGCAAGTACTGGGTAATCTGGGAAAGGAAATTGACTGACATTCACAGGCCGCATTATCTTTTCTTTCATTTTTGTAGGGAGCCTCTTGTGTAGAGGTGGCATGCTCTACATATGAGACATAAATATTTTCACGTTTTTGGCCCTTTCTGAGAGGTCTATCCCTGTGCCTCTTTCTCCATACCCTTCATGTCTAATCCTCTAGTCATCTTACTTCAAAGATTCTGTTAATCCATATGGGCATTTTAAACTTCTCACTGGTTGGATTTTACATCCCCATTGTTCTGTGCAAGGCCACTTGAATTGCATAATAATGCTCCAGCAATCTGTCCTTCCTCAGTCAGCTGGCCACAAGGAGCTCTCCCTAGGACCAGAAGCGTGGGTTGAGAGGGAGGTGGCAGTGCAGCATACAATGAACGTTGCGTCCAGAATCCAAAGAAGTCCCCTGGACGTTAGACTTGTTTCTTGGCAGTGGAGATGACAGGCATGGCTATTTTCCTTTTGCTTTGTAGGGAATATTCTAACATACCTTAGGTCACTGGAGCCCCAGAATCTTTAATAAGGTTTCAGGTCCCTGTATTTTCATGGATTATTTCGAGTGCTTGACCACACACGTGACTTAGCAAAGTATCAAGTTTACTTTATACTTCCTAGTTCCCAGATTCCATCAGTATGACTCTGTTAATATAATGCACTAGCATCATGTTCTGCAAAATGGGAAACAGTAAAAGTCCAAGTAGACTAGATTGTTTTACCAGCCCTGAGAGGTGGTTTACCCTGAGGCAAAATAATGAAAGTTAACTTCTGCTACTGCTGAGTGAGAACAAGCTGCGTTGAGTATTGTTTCTTTAGTGGTCAGTAGAAAAAGAATTTCCAGATCACAAGCTGCATGTCAGGTGCTAGGAGTTGGTTTGCTTTACTTTAGTGAAGAGGCCACCACAACTGGACTGGAGGCTTCAATTGACATAATCACTTGATAAAGTTTTCCTTCTCTAAGACCTGTCTTGGAGTTAAGTAGGAAAGTGTTAGGAATTTGTACCTCAGTGGCCTCCAAGAATTTGGTGGTGGCACTAATTTTTATAATTCTCCAAAGATATCTGGTGTTCCTTTAAATGTACTATTTAGATGAAAAGATGGCATTCCAGAAGGTTCCACTTGGCCATTCCTACCATAACAGACATTACATTAAAGAGTTAATGTCAGCTGGGCGTGGTGGCGCATGCCTGTAATCCCAGCTACTCGGGAGGCTGAGGCAGGAGAATTGCTTGATTCTGGGAGGCGGAAGTTGCAGTGATCCGAGATTGTGCCATTGCACTCCAGCCTGGGCAACAAGAGTGAAACTCCACCTCAAGAAAAAAAAAAAAAAGAGTTAACATCAGCATTCAGCATTTTCTGTTTCTTAGTTTGTCTAGTCCAACTATATGCTAAGGACCTGGGAAAAGGACCGTAGGATGCGTCCATTATCATACTGAGCTGTCTGCAAGACTGATTTGTATCTGAACTCCATTTATCTGTGACTAGTTTACAATAGTAACTTTCTGGATTCCTAGGGTTTAACATTTACTTAATGTGCAACAGTTGCCTAAAGATCTAGGCATTTCCCTACCCCTAATGGCCTCAGGTGCCCTTGGGGAAAATTAGGAAGAGGAGTTATGGAATGTACTACAGGTAGCTAACCTCCCTTTCATTTAAGAAGCTCTGGGTCTGTGAACTAACTCAGACCTAAGTATTATGTGAAAGGCTGTGTCTCTATTTTGGTGACTCACGTCAGGCCTGTTTAACAGATCCAGAGGTTTTTGAGTTATACAAATCATATAGAACTTCCGAAGGCTGCCTATTTCTCTCAGGCCTCTCATCAATTATTTAATACCAAAAGTCACTACTACTCAGAACATCCTGGCTACCACTCAACAATAATTATGCCCTCTTTTCTTTTTGGTGGTGAAGTTCAGCCCCTAGGCTGATACCGTCCTGAGATCTAATCATTCCAATAGAATCATCATCCTTGTGTCTCTTGTGGCCACCACCACCAGCATCCTGCTCTACAGAGAACAGACACTATGACACTTTTCACAGATGCTGGTACCCGCCTCAACCAAGGTATTTCTAAATTACTTAATTAGAGAATGTCTTCTAGGTTTTCTTGGGAGACAAAGGAGGATGAGTGAGTGAGCCATTCATGATAAATGAACTTCAGCCTTACTATCTCCCCAAATTGCTGGATACCTTTCAATGCATTATACCAAGGATTTCCTGACAGACCCTTCGACTTCATTTAATGTAGTGACATTGAGAAGAAGGTCGTCACCAAGTAAACAAAAAATTAAAACCATTTGCAGCTGCTCAAGCCAATACATCAAATTCGGAATCCTTGGTAAGTAAACTCATATTGATAAATGATTCTCAAAATTGTTAGTCCGCTCTTGGCCTTGTGCCCTTAGAGTCAATTCCCAGACATCCTCTCCAATTTTTTTAATGTTAAAATAATCACCCTTGCGGTTCTTTTCACGATTAGGTTTTTTCTGTCGGGTTGAATTTTGTAACTGGCTCTCTATGGAATGCCACACTTTGATTCTGGTTATAGGTCCAGTGACAATCCGAAGGGGTTTGAGAGGAATTGTCTCTTCCTTAAAAAATAGCTGCTTTAGAAAAAGTCTTGAAAGACCTTGCTCTTCAAGCAAATTAAAAACAGCCCTATAAATCAGGAGGGAATGGGCTGCTTTTGGCAAGGGCTCCTCAGAAGACATAGATACTGGAGTAATTTAGGTTATTTCAAACCTCCTATACGTTTCCATTCTAATGTTTGGGGGCATAATATTTCCCAATTATTGTTCTGCCTTTCACATAAAAAACTTGATGAAGCTATAAAGTCGATACTTCCTGATTAAGATAAGGAAGCAGCAAGAAAAAAATTATTTTTAGCTACTTTGGCCTTGTTATAGCTGTGAATAACTTTTTATCCCACTGTTAAAGAAATTCTGTGCTTTTAAATCTTTGCCTTGAGGTGAGAGTTTAGGACTTTGACCTTGTCTTCATTTAAGCTCTCCAGTAGAGTAAGTAGCAGGCAGTTTCTTACAAAACTCCAATTCCTCGTGCTCTTCACGTTCTTCATGCCTTTCTATGGCCGTGGTCACTAGATCCCTCAAGGCATTGCCTCCAATGCATTGCCTCCAATGGTTCCTTCATCCCAGTGACCACAGGGGTTTTATATATATATATATATATATATATATATATATATATATATATATATATATATATATGCTCAGCCTCCCAAAGTGCTGGGCTTACAGGCATGAGCCACTGCGCCTGGCCCACAGGGGTAATTTAATTAGCAGTTTCATCGCTGAGCGCCTTCAGGTAGTAGGTACTAGATTTCTTTTTTTGGCAGATGCATCAGCACCAGTCAGTAGTGAATTCTATGGAGTTCTGAAAAAATGACGTTAGCACAGAAATATTAGGATGCATAGAGAATCAGAAAAAAAAAAATCTAATCCATGTTCCACCTGTAACCTGATGAGGAAACCATCATTCGCTACTGTTGTCCTGTGGTGCTTCAGAAGAAACTAATGCCACCCATGCTGCATCTGCAAAGTCATTTGTACTGAGAACTTCAGTGATCAAATAGGGTGAAGTCTTCCCCCCACTGCTATTGCAGTTGAAGCCCAGACACCTCTGCCACCACCCACACATGGATTGCAGGTAAGGAGGAACTTCCACACAGAGCCCATTACCTCATGTTGCTGATATCTGATTCCAAGTTTTGTACAGGCACATTTTAGACTAAGCCACCTGCCTGAATGCTAAGGAGACTGCATTTTGTGTTCTGACTTTTATGCTGGGAAAGTGAATTCTTGAGATGAGAATTTTCCAAATATAGAAAGGCTGTTCATTCAAAAGATGTGGGGTAGTCATGGCCGTCAGGAATATTTACAGAGGACATTGGATGATTTTTTTTTCTTTTTTACTTATTTTACTTTTGGTTCATATGCAATAAATATTAAATGAATGTTTTATGTAACTATATTTTGTTTTTAGTGAAAGGAAAATTATCCTAAACTATTACAATGTAATTTTATTAATGTTGACTATCTTAATGGATAATGTATATTTTTAATATGTAACTGAACATTAACGTAGAGATAAGATGATTATAGTCTAATTATTAATAAATTGAATTAGTTTATTCTAAAAATATTTACTTATCCAAAATTAAAATGTGTATTTTAAGAGACTATTTTTTACTTTTTAGTTTGATGATTAAACTGCAACTTAAATTATTTAAAATTATTTGTTTCTCCCACATTTATATAGTTTTAGTTTTTACAACTGTTTTGTTTTCTTGTTTCCTGTTGGATTCTTTCATATTGAAATATACAGATGTTCCTCTTACGTTACACTTCTGTTTTTTTCTTTGCTCCATTTTTTCTTCATCTTTCTTTTCTTCACTTAATCTCCCAGTTGGCTGAAATGAGTTTTCCCAGTGTTCTGTCACTCCAGCTCTGATCTTCTCTCTCTACACTCAGGCCATTGGTAACATCATCCATTCTCACTTCTCCGAGCTTGGCTGCTGTGGATCCTGATCTGAACATCTAGCTTAAATCGTACCAGCATCAAAGCACCATATTTCCAATGGACATAGTATTTTCCTTGATGTCTTTCAAACTGCAGATTTTATTCTGCTTTGTGCCATGTTTTCTAATTTAATTAATCCTATTCCTGTCCTCTCAGGTACCCAGGTTCAGAAAAGAGTATCGTGCTTTCCTGCTGCCTTGCAGTGTGCCTCCTAGCCAGTCATTGAGTCGTCTTGGGTCTACTTGTTCAAGTTGCTGTCAAGTCATCTGTAACTTTTGGCTTTTCCCCCATGCCACCTCCTTCATATGGCTAAGTCCTATTCATTCTCCTTCAAGTCTCACCTTGGAAGTTACTTCTTTCTGGAAACCTCCCCCAACACCTGCAAACGTTAAAGATGAACCAGAGACTTTAGGTTGGGGGGAGTGGGGGTAGGGTAGAGGCTACAAATAGATGAAAAACACTTTTAAATAGAGGATACCCAGAGTATGAATAGATGAAAAACACTTGTAAATAGAGGGTACCCAGAGTGCTGGGAAAATGGGTGGGAAGGGTGTATTAGTTTGTTCTCGCATTGCTATAAAGAACTGCTTGAGACTGGGCAATTTATAAAGAAAAGAGATTTAATTGACTCACAGTTCTGCAGGTTGTACAGGACGCCTGGCTGTGGAGGCCTCAGGAAATTTACAATCATGGTGGATGGTGAAGGGG
Organism: Homo sapiens; assembly: GCF_000001405.40. Classification (NCBI taxonomy): domain Eukaryota; kingdom Metazoa; phylum Chordata; class Mammalia; order Primates; family Hominidae; genus Homo; species Homo sapiens. The sequence goes on from NC_000002.12 coordinate 21,187,155, forward strand.
AAGCAGGCCCGTCTTACATGGCAGGGGAAGTACGAAAAGAGTGAAGGGGAAGGTGCTACACACTTTTAAACAACCAGATCTTGTGAGAACTCACTCACTATCATGAGAACAGCAAGTGGGATGTCAACTCCCATGATCCAGTTACTTCTCACCAGGTCCCTCCTCCAGAACTGGGGATTACAATTTGACATGAGATTTGGGTGGGGACACAAATCCGAACCACATCAGAGGGTGTGGAGGATTCCACACTGGATAGCCAAATGGACAGCCTCACTTTCTGAGTGCCACTCCTTCTTTAGACTTTGTGAGATTGTAAAGGAATAAACATTTATTTTATTTATTTATTTTTATTTTTTATTTTTATTATTATTATACTTTAAGTTTTAGGGTACATGTGCACAATGTGCAGGTTAGTTACATATGTATACATGTGCCATGCTGGTGTGCTGCACCCATTAACTCGTCATTTAGCATTAGGTATATCTCCTAATGCTATCCCTCCCCCCTCCCCCCACCCCACAACAGTCCCCAGAGTGTGATGTTCCCCTTCCTGTGTCCATGTGTTCTCATTGTTCAATTCCCATCTATGAGTGAGAACATGCGGTGTTTGGTTTTTTGTCCTTGCGATAGTTTACTGAGAATGATGATTTCCAATTTCATCCATGTCCCTACAAAGGACATGAACTCATCATTTTTTTTTTTTTTTTTTTTTTTTTTTGAGACGGAGTCTCGCTCTGTCGCCCAGGCCGGACTGCAGACTGCAGTGGCGCAATCTCGGCTCACTGCAAGCTCCGCTTCCCGGGTTCACGCCATTCTCCTGCCTCAGCCTCCCGAGTAGCTGGGACTACAGGCACCCGCCACCGTGCCCGGCTAATTTTTCGTATTTTTAGTAGAGACGGGGTTTCACGAACTCATCATTTTTTATGGCTGCATAGTATTCCATGGTGTATATGTGCCACATTTTCTTAATCCAGTCTATCATTGTTGGACATTTGGGTTGGTTCCAAGTCTTTGCTATTGTGAATAGTGCCGCAATAAACATACGTGTGCATGTGTCTTTATAGCAGCATGATTTATAGTCCTTTGGGTATATACCCAGTAATGGGATGGCTGGGTCAAATGGTATTTCTAGTTCTAGATCCCTGAGGAATCGCCACACTGACTTCCACAATGGTTGAACTAGTTTACAGTCCCACCAACAGTGTAAAAGTGTTCCTATTTCTCCACATCCTCTCCAGCACCTGTTGTTTCCTGACTTTTTAATGATCGCCATTCTAACTGGTGTGAGATGGTATCTCATTGTGGTTTTGATTTGCCTTTCTCTGATGGCCAGTGATGGTGAGCATTTTTTCATGTGTTTTTTGTCTGCATAAATGTCTTCTTTTGAGAAGTGTCTGTTCATGTCCTTCGCCCACTTTTTGATGGGGTTGTTTGTTTTTTTCTTGTAAATTTGTTTGAATTCATTGTAGATTCTGGATATTAGCCCTTTGTCAGATGAGTAGGTTGCGAAAATTTTCTCCCATTTTGTAGGTTGCCTGTTCACTCTGATGGTAGTTTCTTTTGCTGTGCACACGCTCTTTAGTTTAATTAGATCCCATTTGTCAGTTTTGGCTTTTGTTGCCATTGCTTTTGGTCTTTTAGACATGAAGTCCTTGCCCATGCCTATGTCCTGAATGGTAATGCCTAGGTTTTCTTCTAGGGTTTTTATGGTTTTAGGTCTAACACTTAAGTCTTTAATCCATCTTGAATTAATTTTTGTATAAGGTGTAAGGAAGGGATCCAGTTTCAGCTTTGTACATATGGCTAGCCAGTTTTCCCAGCACCATTTATTAAATAGGGAATCCTTTCCCCATTTCTTGTTTTTGTCAGGTTTGTCAAAGATCAGATAGTTGTAGATATGCGGCATTCTTTCTGAGGGCTCTGTTCTGTTCCATTGATCTACATCTCTGTTTTGGTACCAGTACCATGCTGTTTTGGTTACTGTAGCCTTGTAGTATAGTTTGAAGTCAGGTAGCGTGATGCCTCCAGCTTTGTTCTTTTGGCTTAGGATTGACTTGGCGATGCAGGCTCTTTTTTGGTTCCATATGAACTTTGAGGTAGTTTTTTCCAATTCTGTGAAGAAAGGCATTGGTAGCTTGATGGGGATGGCATTGAATCTGTAAATTACCTTGGGCAGTATGGCCATTTTTGCAATATTGATTCTTCCTACCCATGAGCATGGAATGTTCTTCCATTTGTTTGTATCCTCTTTTATTTCATTGAGCAGTGGTTTGTAGTTCTCCTTGAAGAGGTCCTTCACGTCCCTTGTAAGTTGGATTCCTAAGTATTTTATTCTCTTTGAAGCAATTGTGAATGGGAGTTCACTCATGATTTAGCTCTCTGTTTGTCTGTTATTGGTATATAAGAATGCTTGTGATTTTTGTACATTGATTTTGTATCCTGAGACTTTGCTGAAGTTACTTATCAGCTTAAGCAGATTTTGGGCTGAGACAATGGGGTTTTCTAGATATACAATCATGTCATCTGCAAACAGGGACAATTTGACTTCCTCTTTTCCTAATTGAATACCCTTTATTTCCTTCTGCCTAATTGCCCTGGCCAGAACTTCCACCACTATGTTGAATAGGAGTGGTGAGAGAGGGCATCCCTGTCTTGTGCCAGTTTTCAAAGGGAATGCTTCCAGTTTTTGCCCATTCAGTATGATATTGGCTGTGGGTTTGTCATAGATAGCTCTCATTATTTTGAGATACATCCCATCAATACCTAATTTATTGAGAGTTTTTAGCATGAAGCATTGTCGAATTTTGTCAAAGGCCTTTTCTGCATCTATTGAGATAATCATGTGGTTTTTGTCTTTGGTTCTGTTTATATGCTGGATTACATTTATTGATTTGTGTATATTGAACCAGTCTTGCATCCCAGGGATGAAGCCCACTTGATCATGGTGGATAAGCTTTTTGATGTGCTGCTGGATTCGGTTTGCCAGTATGTTATTGAGGATTTTTGCATCAGTGTTCATCAAGGATATTGTTCTAAAATTCTCTTTTTTGGTTGTATCTCTGCCCGGCTTTGGTATCAGGATGATGCTGGCCTCATAAAATGAGTTAGGGAGGATTCTCTCTTTTTCTATTGATTGGAATAGTTTCAGAAGGAATGGTACCAGTTCCTCCTTGTACCTCTGGTAGAATCCGACTGTGAATCCGTCTGGTCCTGGACTCTTTTGGTTGGTAAGCTATTGATTATTGCCACAATTTCAGATCCTGTTATTGGTCTATTCAGAGATTCAACTTCTTCCTGGTTTAGTCTTGGGAGGGTATATGTGTCGAGGAATTTATCCACTTCTAGATTTTCTAGTTTATTTGCGTAGAGGTGTTTGTAGTATTCTCTGATGGTAGTTTGTATTTCTGTGGGATCGGTGGTGATATCCCCTTTATCATTTTTTATTGCGTCTATTTGATTCTTCTCTCTCTTTTTCTTTATTAGTCTTGCTAGCAGTCTATCAATTTTGTCGATCCTTTCAAAAAACCATCTCCTGGATTCATTAGTTTTTTGAAGGGTTTTTTGTGTCTCTATTTCCTTCAGTTCTGCTCTGATTTTAGTTATTTCTTGCCTTCTGCTAGCTTTTGAATGTGTTTGCTCTTGCTTTTCTAGTTCTTTTAATTGTGATGTTAGGGTGTCAATTTTGGATCTTTCCTGCTTTCTCCTGTGGGCGTTTAGTGCTATAAATTTCCCTCTACACACTGCTTTGAATGTGTCCCAGAGATTCTGGTATGTTGTGTGTTTGTTCTCGTTGGTTTCAAAGAACATCTTTAAACAAGCCAAGTGGGAGTGCTTTGATGACAACCATTTAAGAATTATTGGATTAGATAAAATCTGAGGGTTCTTCTAGGTAATTTTTTATTATTAGAATGATCATAAAAATAAGTAAAATTATTTACTTGAGTTGATAGGCAATTCACTGTTGATTTAGTGTATTCTGGACATCTTTCCAATCAATAGATGAGATGGGAGAGTATGCTTTAAGAGCATAGATAAATGGCTTGCTGTGAGACTGAAGAAAGGCCAACTCCTCCAAACCCTGAATCTAACACAATCTTTGGTACACTTCTGAACTTTGTTTCCCTGACTGTATTTTCTTCTGCCACACATACTATCTTATGTTAATTATTGTAAACTTTTGTTTTTGGTAATGACTGGAAGTGTAAATCTTATCTCCCCTTTTTGTAGAAGATTTTAATGCTCATTCTTAACTGTTTATGCTTCTAAATTAAATTTTAAATCTGATTCAGGTTCAAAAATTGGACTCCTAATTGGCATTTCATTAATTTAAAAAATTTATATGGGATAGTTTTCATCTTCCCTCTCTTTTGCGGCCCTCAGATAGAGAGACCTGAATTTATAATACTTCTCAGTTCATAGCATGTTGTTATTATCAATTCACGCTCTACCTTCTTTGTTTTTTTCCCTCTGTTTTATTTCATGTTTTCTTTTCCTTCCTTTGTTCCTAGTGCTGCCACTTCCATTGCCTCCTCTTGATAGACATTTATCCTGATATCATGTTTGACATATGTCCTCAAATACATATGTATTTCCTTTCCTCTCCTCTCCTCTTCTCTCCCCCCTCCCCTCCCCTCCCCTCCCCTCCCTTCCCCTCCCCTCCCCTCCCCTCTCCTCTCCTCTCCTCTCCTTTCCCTCTCTTTCCCTCTCTTTCCTTCTCTTTCTCTTTCTTTCTCCTTCTGTCTTCTTTCAATGGAATCTTATTCTGTCACCAGGCTGCCGTGCAGTGGCGCGATCTCGGCTCACTGCAACCTCCGCCTCCTGGGTTCAAGCGATTCTCCTGCCTCAGCCCCCCGAGTAGCTGGGATTACAGGCACACGCCACGACACCCAGCTAATTTTTGTATTTTTAATAGAGATGGGGTTTCACCATGTTGGCCAGAATGGTCTCGGTCTCTTGACCTCGTGATCTGCCTGCCTCGGCCTCTCAAAGTGCTGGGATTACAGGTGTGAGACACTGTGTAGAGGAAGAGCTGATTTTAGAAGGGGAGATTTGGACACAGAGGAAGAACCATGGGAAGATGCAGGGAGCCATCCTCAAATCAAAGAAAGAGGCCTCAAAAGAAACCAACTCTGCCAACACTTTGATCTTGGATTTTTAGCTTCCAGAATTGTGAGAAAATAAAATTCTGTTGTTTAAGCCACCTTGCCTGTGGTATTTTGTTATGGCAGCGCTTGCAAACTAATGCAGTGCTCTCTCTCTCTCTCTCTCTCTCTCTCTCTCTCTCTCTCTCTATATATATATATATATATATATATATATATATATATATATATATATATATATATATATTTGAGTTGAATTGTCTTTGGGGATATTGCTCTGTTGCTGTTTCTAAAGTAGCTCTTTATGTAGTAAAAATATTTACTTTCTCTGTCTCATGTTGAAAGTCGTTTTCCTAGTTTCGCTTTTTCTATTTAGCTTTGTTTACATTTGATTACCTTTTAACTTTGTTTACAATGAGGTTTTAAAGTTAGAAATTTTTAAATATCAGTGCAGTCAAATCAATCATTTCTTAATATACATGGAGTTGTTTCTGAGATTTTTATTGTGTTCATTTCCAATATATGTTTATTTTGGTACTAGTATCATACTTTTTAATTATTATAAATTTTTAGTATGTTTTGACATCTGTTTCTATTATGTTTTTCTTTATAGATGCTGTGTTTTCAAATTTGCGTAAGAATACTAAATTGATATTTAATAATGTCTTGCTTTTGCTGTAAATGTGCTTCATAAATGTGTGTTTGCTTTAATTCTTTTAGATTGGTCAGTTTCTTTCAAACTAAAAAATTCTCTCCTATGGCTGCTTTTTTCTTTTAATTCCCTATTGTTATTTTGTTATTGATAGTTGTGTTTGGGGTGGAAGAACTGTATATTGATCCAATATTGAATTTATATAATTTCTCTTAAGAGAGAAAGAAAAGTACAATTAGTTTAAATTTTACTTAGCTAGATTAGGGGACTAACTGCTTTTAAAGATATAGAGCAAGAGTAGGCAGCAGCCTCTTGGCAATAATCTCACCCATATAATAATAATGGACATCTTTTTAGAGGTTTGTTTTTATTTTATTTTTTAATGTAACCAAATAGGTAGATACTCTCAGACTAGTGTGAGGCAAGCCTAGCAGGCCTGCAGGAACCTGAGAATGGGTGCCTCCTTAAATTTTGCACCCTAGGAGCTTCTCTTGCCCACTTTGGGCTTTTCTAAGGGTGGGCCAGGAATGAGTATCACGGCCCATTCTTCTGTATGTGGAACAGGTGTCTCTCCCTGGAGCTGCGTGCAGAATCTGCAGTGACAGTTGTTTCATGGTGCACTCTCTTCTGTAGCCTCTGCCACCCTAAGTTTCACGAATTGTTATTGGGGGTTCTACTTGGGGTGTCAGTACCACTCACTTACTTCCAAGTTAGGAATTTGAAAGGGGAGTTAAATATATTTGATCATTTTAAGATCTTCAAGGCTATTTACTTTGGTATTTTCTTCCAATCTTTTCTCAATCTATATATTTCATACATAGTTGAAATCAAAAATCTATACAATTTAATTTTCTGCCTTTTTCACCTAAAGGCATATCAGAAAAATTCCCTAGCTTTTGATAAACACATTTTTAATGGCCATTCAATATTTCATTGAAAAGATATATATCTCCAGGTAATCACAGGGATGAGAAAAAAAGTTTTGCTTTGCCATTTGACGTCTGATTGTTACTGTGTAAGAGATCTTATAAGCTTATTGGCAATTCAGTTTGCTATAAATATGTATCTGCTCTATGTAATACTGGGTATTTCTTAACCCTGGTGGTTGCGGAGGGGAGATAGGTAAGGAGTTTGGATTATAAATTGTAATGTGAAATATAAAATATGTTTTTGGAACACTGAGGAAGAAATAGTTTGGCCTTGGTATTTTGGGGTATGGCTTCACTGATGAATGCATTTGAAATGGCCCTGAAGGCTTAGTAGAGTTTTCAGAGTGAGGAAGAAAAGGGCATTCAAAGTAGGAAAAAACAGCATGAATAAAGGCATGGCATAGAAAAAGCATGGAATTCAACATTGAATTGTTTATCTGTGCTTATGACAATCCACTGTTAAGTCCAGACTATCTCCTAGCAAATACTTTAACCGTATCCTTTTATGGACCTTTATAGCTGCTGATAAAAAAATCGAGTCAATTATGTTTTATGTCCATGTATTTCCTCTTCTCTGCTTTCTTTGTTGGCAGCTGTGAAAAATAAAATGAGAGGCAATGAGTTTGATATGTGTCTTTTGTTCTTCTTTTGTGTTCTGAGTTTAATTAGTTTTATAAGAAAATGTTTTGGGAAAGGGCAGTAGACACAGAAAGATAGGAACCAGAGAAAATGTCTGCATGGTTTTGTGTGGAGATGAGTGGATAGTTTTTCACAAAATAATTGTGGTATTCAAAGCCAGTGTGAAAACTGAAATATAAAATAGAAAACCACTTTTTGTCTTTCTACCCTTGCTTGTACACATTTCTCTTAACATCGAGAAAATTCAAGAACTGCTGAGAGTGTAGAATTTTGAGAACAAAGGATTTCTATCATATATATTGTGAGCTATAAGTGGGCATTTTATATGTATTTTAATGTTATCGGAATATATTTTAGGGGTAAAAACCACCAGCTCTGGAAACCAGAAGGCCTTTTTTTTTTTTTTTTTTATCAAATTAGTAAAAGGGCAGTGAGATTTGTTAAGGCCAGAGATGTAATGATTAGATAATATGTCAAGTCTGTGGAGAGCACTAATTGCAGCAAGAGATTAAAGTCTCTGTTGAAATCACTTAAAGCTCTGAAGATTTGTTCAAGTAAATCAGAACAATGCCCCATGTCACAAGCACTATCAGCGCCCGAGGAATGAACATCATGTGCTACTGCTTTCTCCCTCTTTTCATGATTGTCCTCAGGACAGTGTGGCTGTAGTTATCATACTGAGGAAGATTAAGAGCTTTGCAGCTCTAATAGCAAACCTACAATTACCCAATGGGGGAAGACATAGTAGATTAAGTGTAACAAAAGGGAGATCTGCATCAACTTAATTTATCCAAGCCACCAACCTATTGAAGCTACTTAGTAAAATAATTCTGAACTTTACTCAAGATAAAACTTCATGGCAGTCATCTTTTAATTTGAAAATTAGTAAATTAGCATTTCTGGGATAACTGTGATGTGATTTAAATATAAAAGTAGTTCAATGTAATCTCCCCCTTCCTTCTTCCCTTTCTTCAGATTTAAGAAGAGAGATTCCCTCTAGGGTTAGATGTAAGTGTATTGGCTCTTAGATGAATCCAGTCACTTCCTGGTAGGCAGAATGACTAAGAATACATTCCCTACACTCAGAAAGATATGAAGCTGTTGAAAATCACACTCTGAAATTAAGGTGCTGGTAATACAAATGAGAGGTGTCTTCTGATTTTGAGCTTTGTAAATTCAGAGGATATTGTGACAGGATTTAGGATCAGAGGTGTGGAACAGCAGCCAACTTGAGAAATATAGGGAGAAACATATATTTTTTAAATTTGGATACACACTATATAAAACTTTTATTCTAAGGACTTATTTCGGTTTAAAGACTTTTTTGAATTTGTAAATGCAACTATATGCTATGTTAAAACATGGCTTACCAAATCATTTTTACTGTGTATGGAGATATTAAATCCTATAAGAAAAAACCATGTTTTTATTCCTAATTCGGGGAAATATTTTATAAACTTCTTTTACAAATATTTAAAATCCAATTTTTTTTCACAGTTTTTACCTATTATCATTCTTTATAAAATAAGCCCTAGAACTTAAAAAATAATTGAAATAAAAATCTTGAGTATGGAGATGGGGTGGGGATTATTTTTATTGCTCCCAATTTTGCTCCTAAAAAATTTGTTTTCTCCTTGGAATTTTCTCACTTTGGTACTGTCACCATGCTGGTTAAACGATCTGTCCCTAGGGCCACATCAAGACTTTAGAGGATCTTAATGGCAGAAGATCACTGATTAAAAAACAAAACAAAACAAAACAAAAAAGAATTCACAGGCCCTAAACACTAAAAAAATTTTTTTGCAGGAGTGATTATGCATGGAGGGTTTTATGTCATTATTAAAAATATGAAAGAGTGAGAGAGTAAAGGTGACTATTTTTATTCTCCTAATGATGACTAGTTCAATGCATTACATACATATGTATTTATATATGTAACACATAAAATTCATTTAAGCATATTTTAATGCCCTTACTTGCATGTGCTTAATCCAAGACTAGCTCCTCTTTAGAATTTAGGCACAGGATTTTTTTTTTTTTTTTCACACAACTCCTTCTGCCTAAAACTTTCTCAGAGACATTACAGCCAACATCATACTGACAGCTTTCAGGCTAGAATCAGCTCACAGATTAACATGTATAATGTATATATATACACACACACACACACATATATATATGTAAATATCAGTTCAATATCATGTGTTCATGAGGATAACCAGTGTTTTAAAATTATATAACTAGTATAAGAGCAATCCAGTAGGAATATACACATGGGATGATGCTGGAGAGAGAGAGAGAGAAAAAAAAACTTCATTCTGTTATGTCTCTGCTTTGGAAACTTGAGGATTTTCCTTGAATTGTCCACCTTGTTTCCTTGCACTAAATTACTACTAGTAAGCAAAACTTGTTACCCGTGTGAATAGACTACACTCGTCTCAAATATCATAATTCCAAAAAAGATCTTGTTCTCATAGCATTTCCCTGAGGGACTCAGAACGGATTCATTCTACAGATATTTTGGTGTGTTGGCTGGATGCAAATCATTTCATAAATATTTATGCAAGATCTGCGTTTGGAACACAAATGAATAATATCATTCCTGACCTCAAGGAGTTTATTTCTGATAGGGGAGATGAGGAAATTACAGTTATCTGTAATAAAAGGTGGGCTGGAGTAAGTTCTGTATTAATGTTTGTTTAATATTTAAGGAGTGGGCAGAGTAGGATTTAGTGTCATAAGTGTATTTTAGTTTTAGCTCAGACCAACAAAGACTTTTTTGTTTTCATTCTTGTACTCTATAGCCATGACGGTAAATTTATTTCCAGAAAGAACACTGTCAATTTGCCATTAAGAAACAAAGAAATTTGATGAAAAGTTTGAATTCTTCTGTGTACTTTGCCATATAGGAAGTTATCTTGCTCTTCCCACTCAAATAATGAGAGCAAACAAATAAAGGAAAACACCTGCTTATTTCACCTCTAGTTGTGTTTTCTTTCACCCTGGCCCCCAAAGGCCAGATTTAGGCAACAGCTGTGCACCATGTGTGCCCAGAATCTGGAGAAATATGGGCCATGGATCTGCAGAGCACACTCTCCTTCTTTTTATTTTTTTCATGGAATAGTCATGACTGAGTTTAGTGTATTTTTCCACTTTAATGTTTATTTTAAGAGTATGCACAATGAGGGGTAATACACACATATAATTAAAATTATCCTCCAAAGCATAATGGATATACTATCACATCTCATCTCTTAATATTTGGCAGCCACAAAGATACGTGAAGAGTTGCCCTCCCTGAGGTGGCCTACTTTTTCAGGGGAGGGGAAGAGGTCTAGCTGTTTTCCCAGTAATTAATCTGCAGATTTTAACTAGGGAATCGTATGCAATGGAGTCCTTTGAGATTGTATTGGGAAATATGGAAACTTCATCTTTGCAATCAGGACATTGCTGAGCTACACAGAGCAATGTAGGGGAGATGGGGAGGGGGTCAAGATGAATAGTCATTTGTTCTGGAGTACTTTAGATTGTGTGTGCTGGAACTGGCATTTAGGTTTTCCTCATAAAGGATTTCAAAATGTTATCAGCTTTGCCACTACGAATCTCCTTGTTTCATGTGGAGATATGGAGCCAACTAGTCAATTTAATGTGCAGTAAAAGAGAAACATAACCTTTCAGAAGATTCTGTGGTGACTTCATCCTTATTTGCAATTCTGCCTGGTTGCTGGAGGCTCCCGGTAGTATTCAGGTGCTTGGGTAGAGTGCTGGGCCACAATACTTTTGCTAGGTTCTAAACATGACTGTATTTATTTTATTTTAAATGTGCTTTATTTTAAGACAACCTAATTATTTTTTAAACAATGCATCCACACCAAAATAAATTAAGGTATAAATAAATGAGAGCTCAAGATAGCATCAGTCCAATTCCTTGAAGTCCTGGTTTTGTGTGGATGTAAAAAAGCAGCAGCCAGTTACAATGACAAGTGATACAATAAAAGTAAATGGTTAAATTGATTAACATTGTCCCTATTAAAATCACCTTTAAATAAATTCGTATATGGGATCATATCCTCATGGTAGTCTAGCAGACCCAGTATGCCATATGGACTCATATTTTCACCAAGAAAGAACTGACAGTTTTTAAAATTAGTGAAAATATGCTTGATTTGTTTTTTACAGTAGCACCGTAAAAGGGATTTTTTTTTCTCTTTGGTTTCTGTTATTCTTGCCTTTGATTGATAAATATGTAGTCTTTGAGGTCCTTTTTGTAAAGTTTGTTTTTGAGCTTGTTTCTTTAAATAATTGCTCGTGACTGTATCACACTGGCAATTACCGCAACATCTGTTACTTTTCTTTCTGGACTTTCAGCAGAAGCAGCTTGACCAATGGGCGAGACATCAGTGTTGCCCTCTGTCCTGCTCTTCCCTGCCCAGCAGGGACAGCCTATTAATGATCTCCTGGATCTGGTGATGAATTTTGGAGAATATCTCCATAAATGATCATAGGTTGGTGAAGGGAGACAATCGGGCACAAACTCTGTAGATATTTTCCTTGGCATAAATTATGTAAAAATAAAAGATGTAATAGATGTGAAACCTACTGGCTCTATTAATCAGACATTTTTAAGTGTCAAAATAGAGTAAATGGGTTTGAATTTTGATGAGACTATGGCCTACTAAATTAAATGTGGTAATGAAGATTTATAACAAAAGTGGAAGTATTTCGGTAGAGGTTTCTAGTTGACTTACACATAAATCATTGATACAACCCCTTCCATTTCTTCCCTGCCTGTAAAATTCCCCAAGACATGCATTGTTCAGGAAAGTTTATAAACTGCTAATGGCAGCGGAAAAATTGGAATATCCTGAGTTGCTACATTGCCTCTGTTTGTGGTTTGGAAGATTTCTTGTCCTTGATGGGACAGAATTAGTAACAATGTGATTTAGGGAATCCTGTGCCAATGATGTTATTACCTGTACCTTTCCCCGTTTACAAACAAAATTGGGCTCCAACAAAATGATTTTGACCACATTTACTATTGTTATTTCTATATTGTCATGTTGATGCTTTCAAATATCAACATATTTGTTCACAAAATAGAAATTTTGATATCATTTTTTCCTTTTGCACAGCCCTTTTCTCGTTGCTGATATGTCCCTATTCTCAGAAGGCTAAGGGCAGGTCTGAGCAACATCTCTGTGTTTTTTGCTGAAGGAATGTCTTTTGATAAACAGGTTTATCTATAATCTTTCCTTTGTTAAATGTAGTGATCAGCCTCTTTAGCAGGATACACTTTTATCTTTGTGGGGAAATGAACAAGCTGAGCATCCTCAGATTCTCTTGAAAAGCAAATAGTTATAAAAAGTAAACGATATTGAACATTTCAACATTTCCTTTTGGATTCATGGAGTTTTATGACTAATATGAAAATTGAGGTTTAATCTTTACCATTCGAGTGTTTGATTTTATTTATCTTGGTTTATTTTTCCTTATTGGAAGAGTGGGCTGGGTTGGGGGAAAATAAAAATGTCCACTTGTAAGAAGAGATCCTAATAAAGAATGTTGCCGGCACTGATACTCAGCTTAGAGGTTTCAACAATGCAGCTTATTTCAGCTGTACATTTAGTTACTATGTGGTAGCTCTCTCCCCGAGAAAAGAAGCATCTTGTAAAATCTGTGTTATTTTGTCAGACTACAGAGAGCAAAAGTTTATGGTATGGCTAGAGATGGAAAAAAAGTTCTGCTAGACTTATCAGTGCTAATTGTGGATATTTTTGACAGTTTTCCTGAAAGCTGCTAGCTTCTGTTAAGGAATTTTAGAGTTAAAAATAATTCAGGCTTATTGTTTAAATAATTGGAAAATAGATTGATTTTTTTTCCTATGGCTTAACTAATAACAATAAAAATATTAGAGGCCCCTGTTATACAACTTGAGAAACAAAGCATTACCAATACCTTTGAAAGCCTTTGTGTGCCCCACCCTAATTACATCTGCTGTCTTTATCTAAGGAAGCCAAAGTCCTGATTTCAGTGATCGTCATTTCAATGCTTTTCTATATAGTTTTACCACATTTGTGTTCAATGCTAACAAAATGATGTTTAAATTTTGTGTTTTTCAGTTTTTATATAAATGACTTTTTTCATTGAGTACTATATTGTAGCAGTTCAGCCATTGTGATGGATGTAGCTGTACTTAATGCATTTCCTAATATTGATCATTTGTGTCTTCTCTGTTTTTCTTTATCAGCTTGCCTAAAGGGTTATCAATTTCATTGATCTTTTCAAACAATTAGCTTTCAGTTTCTTTCATTTTCTCCATTGTTTTAACTTGGAACATCTTTTTTTCGTATGAACATATAAAGCTATATATCTTCTTCTAAATCCTGCCTATCTGTATAAGCATATTTTGATACCCTGAGTTTTTATTATGCTTAAGCATTTTCTACTTTTCCTTGTGATTTCCTATTTTATCCCTTGATTATGTAGAAATATATTTTTAATTTCCACATATTTTGATTTTTTCAGATATCTTTCTGTTATTTATAGCTTGATTCTTTTGTGACCATAAAACACAAATTTGACAATTCCAGTCTTTTACATTTGTTAAGATTTGTTTTATACCGGAGAAAATGTTCTGTTTTGGTCAGGGTTCCATGTGCACCTAAAGAGAACATGTATTCTGCTATTACTGGGGGGAGTGCTGTATAAATGTCAGCTAGGTTAAGTACGTTTTAGAGTCTTTCAGGTCTCCTCTGTCCTTACTGATGTTTTATTCCTGTCTTTATTGATTATTAGAGAGAACTATTGAAGTGTTCAATTATAGTTGTGATTTTCTGTATTTTTTTCATTCTGTCATTTTTTTTTTTTTTTTTGCTTTATGTGTTTCAAAGCTCTACTCTTAGGTACAAACACATTAAGTGTTGTTTTATCCTCTTAGTGCATCATATCCTTTAATGTAATGTAATATCTCCCTTAAACCTGTTAGTATTTCTTGGTATGAGCTTTACTTTGTCTTTCAGATGTGATTCCTGCTTTCTTTTGATTAACATTTACTGGTATATTTTTTTAATCATATTTTTAAACATTCCATGTTTTTATAAAGTTGATTTCTGGTAGATAAAATATAGTGTGTTTTTTCAATTCAGTCTTACAATCTCTGTTTTTTAAATTGAGTTGCTTAAACCATCTATATTTAATGTTTCTTTTTAATATGGTAGGATTTAAAATTTGCCATTTGTGAATTATTTTTCATTTATGCCATCTCTTCTTTCTTTTTTCCTCTTTTTCTACTTTCTTTTGGATTAATCCAGTATTCATTATAAATCTAATTTATCTCCATTATTGGCTTATTAATTGTATCTCTGTGTTTACTTTTCTCATAGTTGTGCTAGAATTCTCAATATATATTTGTCACACCGCATTTGTTTTTTCATAATCCTACTTCACAAAGTATTTTTATTAGAAAGAGATGCTTGGATTATATCAAATATCTTTTAGGTATAAATTAAGATGATTACATTCTGTGCTTTTTGTAGAGAAAATAAATTAATTGCATAGATGTCATAAAGCTGAGCTCTATGATACTATATGCATCCTTTTGTAAGTTGCTTCTTACGTTCAACATTTTGTTTTTGAGATTTAATCACATTGACACACAAAGATTTATTCGTTTTAGTCACTTTATAGTATTCATCATACGAATAAACCATAGTTTATGTATTTATTTCTCTACTTCTGGTAGTTCTCACTTCTTTTGGCTATTATAGTCAGTGCTGCAATAAATATTTTCTGTATTTCTCTCCTAATACATTGTTGATTAGAAGTGCAAATAGTGGGCAGCTTCATTCTATAAATGCCAACTATATCATGTTGGTTAATTGTGTTGTTCAAGTCTTCTATATCCTATTGATAACCTTTCTACAATCCTAAACATTTATGCACCTTAATAAGATAACTTCATAATGAATGAAGCAAATAACCTCAGTAACCTCTAAAGGAGAAAGAAAAAATCCACAATTATAATAGGAGATTTCAGGATCTCAATATTAATAATTGATAGAACATGTAGATAGAAAACTAGTAAGGATATAGAAGACTCAAAGAATACAATCAGCCAACTTAAGCTAGTTGACATTTACAGAAAACTCCATCCAACAGCTGCAGGATATATATTCTTCTCAAGTGCACATGGGACATTAACCAAAACAGACTATATTTTGGGCCATAGATCAAGCCTCCTCATATTTACTAGAATTCAAATCATACTGTTTGTTTTCTTACTATAATGAAATTAAAACTAGCAGTCAATAATGTAACTAATACTTAAAAATGAAACAATACACTGCTAAGCTATCCATGGATCAAAAATAAAGTTACATGGAAAATACAAAAATATTTTTACTTAAATAAAAACAAAAGTGCAACAAATCAAAATTTATGAGATACAGCTAATGTAGTTCTTAAAGAGAAGTCTATACCATTAAATATTTATATCAGAAAGAGTATTGGTCTCAAACCAATGATTTAAGCTTCTACTGTAAAAAAACAAAAAGAGCAAACATAACCTAGGGCAAGTAGGAGCAAGGAAATAATACAGAAACAGAAATAAATGAAGACGGAATCAGGAAAACAATGAATAAAATCAACAAAAAAGAAGCTGATCGTTGGAAAGAGCAATATAAATGACTGATCGAGGTCGACTTATCAAGAAAAAAAAGTAGAAGTTTTTTACTTATATCAGGAGTAAAATAAATAGGAATACCAGTATAGAGCTTTCAGATATTAAAAGGACAGTAAGGGAATATTATTACAAATTTCATGCCAATAAGTTTTACAACTTTGATGAAATTGAAAATTTCCTTGAGAGATGCAAACTACAAAACCACCTTTGAGAAGAAATAGATCATATGAATATATTATTTGTTAAATTAAATAAACTTATAATTGAAAACATTCTAATGGTGTGGAAACTCTATGCCCAGACAATTTTATTGGCAAATTATACTAAACACTTGAGGCCGAAATATCAGTTCTAGGCTGGGCATGGTGGCTCATGCCTGTTATCCCAGCACTTTGGGAGGCTGAAGAGGGTGCATCACTTGTGTTCAGGAGTTTGAGACCAGCCTGGACAACGTGTTGAAAACCCGTCTCTACTAAAAATGCAAAAATTAGCCAGGCATGGTGGCATATGCCTATAGTCCAAGCTACTCTGGAATCTTAGGTGGGAGGGTTGCTTGAACCCACAGGCAGAGGTTGCAGTGAGCCAAGATCACACCACTGCACTCCAGCCTGGGCAAAGAACATGACCCTATCTTAAAGAAAAAAAAAAAAAAGAAAAAGAAAGAAAGACCAGTTCTACACAAACTCCTCCACAGAAAAAAAGAAGAGGAGAGAACACTTCCCAAGTTATTTTTTAGAGGCCAGCATTACCTTGATAGTAAAACCAGAAAAAGGACTTATAAGATAATGAAACTATAGACCAATATTCCTCATGTATATGCTCTGAAATTATCAAAATGTGTACTGTCATGTTAGCAAGTATCTGCTGTCATTCTAACAAACTATGTACTGTCATCCTAGCAAGGACTTGGGGATGCAAATTTAAACAAGAGAATTTTTAGCATCCAACATGTTAAATTTGTTTTGCTCTATTTAAAGCCTGTCTCAGATTTTGACATTTGGACTTTCAATTAAAGTCTGACCTTTTGTTGAGTTTGAGTTGATTAACCTTTTGCAGTAGATAACTTTCCTTTAAATAGTGCCAAGAGATCCTCTGAGGAAAGAATTCAATGAATACTTATTTATAGTCATAATATTATAACTCATCAATTTTTATACTTTAAATCAGATTGAAGTATTAACTATCAAGGAAAATTAAACTTGCTTTAAATATTTTTTTTCTTTAACAAAAAGAGTAAGGGTTAAACCTTGTGTTGCATATAGAGAAGTTGGAATTCTGAGATATTTGTCTGAGAAAATGTAAGGTGTCAACTCCTTTTGTTGGGGCTTCAGTGTAATTAAATGTCTAAACACTCTTAGTTTATAGTAAGAGTTATGCTGGATCATGCAAACATATTCTGGTTTTAGACCTGACACTAAAGTCTGAAGTGTCAATGACTTTTCAGTTTTGACCATAGTTAGAATGATCTTAGTTATCCCTCTAACCAATAAAATGCCTGTGACCAACTCCTTCAGTTGTCCAGGACTTAGGGAGCTCTCAGGATGTGATACTTTCAATGCTTAATCTGGGAAAGACCTGGGTAAACTATGATAACTTGGTCACCCATGTCATTCTAAGTTTTTCTTTTTTTTAATCTTTTTTTCATGTTCCTTGTAATGATTAACACATTCTCTTCTGTGTGATTGATTAAAAAAGACAATTCTTATTTGAATCATTGAGCATATAGCTCTACCCTCAAGATTGTTCAAATGCAGTAGAGATTATTTTCATATTGCTGGTGGTATGCCTTTTAATTGCTAAAAAATCTCCAGGGACCATTTGCACATGTTTGTAGACACCACTATAATCATGTAGTTGCCCTGGTCTAAATATACCATGTTTCATAGTTTCTGGGTAGGAGATACATGAAGATATTCATTATTGAAATATTACTAACCCTTATTTTTCATTTCTGGCATAAAATGATACCAACAGAATTTCTAGCAATCAAAAAATAAATATAGGGGTCTTTATTCATTTAATATATCAATAATAACTTCATTTCACCCTGTGCTGGAACACTGGATGATATATAGGGACTAAATTATCTATAAAAAATGGCTCTGGCCCAGAATCTTACTAAAGATAGAAGGTGTTTCTTTTGCTTTGCCTTCTATAGAATATGTCTTTTTGGTATTCTTCTTAGGGTTTTTGTTTCTTCTAGTCCTTTAGTCCAGTTATAGGTGGAGCAATAGGAACGTGTCTGAAGGGGGAGAGATGGAATGAGAAAGCATGAGTAAACACCGAAGACTTGAGACTAAAAGGAAAATAGTGATTCAATCCAAAGGTTGAACTGAGACTTAAGGAAGATAGCTGTTGACTGCTGCCCTGCTTCCATTTCTAGGCAAGCCCAAACTTCCTGAGTGTTATGGGATGAATAAGGCAAACAGTCTTAACAGCTCAAGAGCTGGCCTACTCCTACAGGCACCATGAGAGTGAGCTTCTATAATATCTTTCTTTAGCTCATGGCTCCTTTCCTATATATAGGAATATAACAAGTTTTATTTTAAGTAAGAAAACATGGATATAAAACATAATTGCTTATTATCTCCATTAACCTGACCAGACTCAACAGGAGAATCAAGAGACCATTAATACCTCAAATCTTCTCAAGGGCCAAGTTAACCCTTTTATGTGTAATTTAAAATGTTCTGTTTTATAGTCTTGCTTTTTTGCTATACCACCCCTTCCAATCATACCTGAACTTTCTAAGTTGGATTTAACTAAATCAAATGTAACTCCACCCCCTAATCATTTATGTTATATGCATATGGTTTTTCTCATTATAATGCCATTTAAAAATTTATTTCATTTTCAACTGACACATAATAATTGTACACATTTATGGGGTACAGTATGATGTTTTGATACATATATGCATTGTGTAATGATGAAATCAGAGTATTTAGCTTATCCATCACCTCAAACATTATCATTTCTTTGTGGTGTGAACATTTAAACTCTTCTCTTCTAGTTATTCTAAAATAGATCATACAATATAATTAACTATAGTTACCTTATAATGCCATTTTTTTTTCATAAGGCAAAAAGTTCTGTTGCTAGGATAAATTGAAGTAGAATATGCACATTTCTCCTTTGACAGATTTTTCTTTGACAGGTTCCTATGTTGATATTGCCTTCCTTTCCTTCTGTGGTCTAATGAGGGCAAACCAGACCCTCTTTATTGGTAGTATCCACTGCTTCTAAGGTACTTTAGAGACAATAGTAAAATTATAAAGCATGATCTCTACCTTCAATAAACTTAAACATCTCTGTGCATGGCTTCAAGAATAACATTCACAGAAGAGTAAGATCCAATTAAATAGCAAACAGTATAATCTTATTTTTAAGTCTCATTTAACATTAATAGAAGCTCAGTGAATATTTTCAAATAAATATGGGTTTGGGATGGATGGATAGATTTAGGTGATGTGGAGGTAAGGAAAAGAAATGTTCAGCATGCAAATAATTCTGGAAGCAAAAGCAAATACGATCTGTGTTGTTGGAAGGGGGACTTACTGAATTATTTCCATGAACAACAGCAGATGGGAAGAAGTGGGGATATAAGAATGTTCATTGGCAATGGTGGGGCAGGGTGGTGAGATAAGCACTACTTATGAAACGCCCGGAACATCAAGAGCAGAATTTTGTATTCCATGTAATAGATAACAAGGAGTAGCTATAGAATTTTTGAGTAAGGCAGCATCAAATGTAAAATAATACTTTGTTGTTAATTGGTGAGTATTTTGCAAATAATTTTTTTACAATTTAATATGTTTGGTTTGTTTTATTACAAAAGTAAAATATTTTAGTTATGAAATTCAGGCAGTAGAAACATGTAAGTCTTCTTTTCTGCTTTTCTACTCACATACCTGAGTGAGATGCAATAATTTGTATATTTTCCCCAATTTTTCTATGCTTCTATATAAACATATAGGTTCATAACATATATGCTGTATTATTCCATTCTCCTGCTGCTATAAGGACATACTGGAGCCTGCCTAATTTACAAAGTAAAGACGTTTAATTGGCTCACAGTTCCACAGGTCTGGGGAGATCTCAAAAAACTTACAATCATGGCAGAAGGGAAAGCAAACATGTCCTTCTTCATATGGCGGCAGGAAGAAAAAGAATGAGTGCCCAGCTAAGGGGAAAGCCCCTTATACAACCATCAGATCTTGTGAGAACTAATTCAGTATCATGAGAGCAGGATGGGGGAAACCACTGCCATGATTCGATTATCTCCATCTGGTCCCTCCCATGACACATGGGGATTATGGGAACTACAACTCAAGATGAGATTTAGGTGGGAACACAGCCAAACCATATCATCTGCATACAGAGTTTAAGCAAGATTGGGATCATAATATTTTTGAGAGAATTTAAGGTAATATTTCAATTTCATCTTTCGCTAGAAACTCTGTTACTAGGATCAGCAGTGAAAGAGAAGTTACATTGTAGTACCTTTGGAAAGAATGGTTCTTGTGAATAGCATCTCTTTAAGATGTTTGAATAGGTAATAAAGACATGTGACAGGGAAACATTTCACTGGCTGCACTATTAAGCAGTCATATTTATTATGGAGGAAAGGAAAAGTTATCAGGACTGTATGGTAGAAATGAAATGAATTAATTAAGTAAATTAAGGCAAAATATTTAAATTAATCAGACCTCATGGAAAAAGAACAAATTAAAGAGACTGTTAACATTTTCATCACCTGAAGAGTATAAAGAAGTAACGATACTAGTGTGGCGTGGCCAAATGAGATAGAAGAAAAAATCATCAAAATCAAATTGTGCAACAAAGAATGAGATCACTAGGGGAAGAATTTGCATTAAGTGAAAAGGAGTTAAACTGGGCTTATCTGCTTAGAAATGCTGTGGCTACAGTAGCTCTTTTATGTTTTCTGTTTACCTTTGTGGTTGGTGTAAAAACTCTCAGAATCTAAAATTTCATCCTAGTTGCAAGCTAATAAGTTAGCCTGTTACTGTTTCATAGATGTTAGCAAAAGATACATGATTCCTGGGTCAGAGACAAACAACTTTATTTCTCATGGTACACCAGTCAGCATGAGCATAAGCGTGTTTGTCATGTTTCTCCTTGTCCCCAGGTTATTCAGAGGCAACATGGAGAGTCCAAGATGGATGCTATGCATACGGTGGATTTTTATTTCAGCCAGGAATGGCCACATAATTAGTGAGAGTCAGTGCAAAATAAAATGCGGTGCTCATTATTCAAAAACCAGTGTGATTAAAGGCATTAGAATATAACACTTTCCAGAACAGTGGAAACAGTGCACAAAGCCAATGCAACAGTTTAATGTTTTTTTTTTTGGTTTAACATTTTTATTTTATTTATTTATTTATTTATTTTTAGTTTATTTTATTATTATTATACTTTAAGTTTTAGGGTACATGTGCACAATGTGCAGGTTAGTTACATATGTATACATGTGCCGTGCTGGTGTGCTGCACCCATTAACTCGTCATTTAGCATTAGGTATATCTCCTAATGCGATCCCTGCCCCCTCTCCCCACCCCACAACAGTCCCTGGTGGGTGATGTTCCCCTTCCTGTGTCCATGTGTTCTCATTGTTCAATTCCCACCTATGAGTGAGAACATGCAGTGTTTGGTTTTTTGTCCTTGCGATAGTTTACTGAGAATGACGATTTCCAATTTCATCCATGTCCCTACAAAGGACATGAACTCATCATTTTTTATGGCTGCATAGTATTCCATGGTGTATATGTGCCACATTTTCTTAATCCAGTCTATCATTGTTGGACATTTGGGTTGGTTCCAAGTCTTTGCTATTGTGAATAGTGCCGCAATAAACATACGTGTGCATGTGTCTTTATAGCAGCATGATTTATAGTCCTTTGGGTATATACCCAGTAATGGGATGGCTGAGTCAAATGGTATTTCTAGTTCTAGATCCCTGAGGAATCGCCACACTGACTTCCACAATGGTTGAACTAGTTTACAGTCCCACCAACAGTGTAAAAGTGTTCCTATTTCTCCACATCCTCTCCAGCACCTGTTGTTTCCTGACTTTTTAATGATTGCCATTCTAACTGGTGTGAGATGGTATCTCATTGTGGTTTTGATTTGCCTTTCTCTGATGGCCAGTGATGATGAGCATTTTTTCATGTGTTTTTTTGATGCATAAATGTCTTCTTTTGAGAAGTGTCTGTTCATGTCCTTTGCCCACTTTTTGATGGGGTTGTTTGTTTTTTTCTTGTAAATTTGTTTGAGTTCATTGAGGATTCTGGATATTAGTCCTTTGTCAGATGAGTAGGTTGCGAAAATTTTCTCCCATTTTGTAGGTTGCCTGTTCACTCTGATGGTAGTTTCTTTTGCTGTGCAGAAGCTCTTTAGTTTAATTAGATCCCATTTGTCAATTTTGGCTTTTGTTGCCATTGCTTTTGGTGTTTTAGACATGAAGTCCTTGCCCATGCCTATGTCCTGAATGGTAATGCCTAGGTTTTCTTCTAGGGTTTTTATGGTTTTAGGTCTAATGTTTAGGTCTTTAATCCATCTTGAATTAATTTTTGTATAAGGTGTAAGGAAGGGATCCAGTTTCAGCTTTCTACATATGGCTAGCCAGTTTTCCCAGCACCATTTATTAAATAGGGAATCCTTTCCCCATTGCTTGTTTTTCTTAGGTTTGTCAAAGATCAGATAGTTGTAGATATGTGGCATTATTTCTGAGGGCTCTGTTCTGTTCCATTGATCTATATCTCTGTTTTGGTACCAGTACCATGCTGTGTTGGTTACTGTAGCCTTGTAGTATAGTTTGAAGTCAGGTAGCGTGATGCCTCCAGCTTTGTTCTTTTGGCTTAGGATTGACTTGGCAATGTGGGCTCTTTTTTGGTTCCATATGAACTTTAAAGTAGTTTTTTCCAGTTCTGTGAAGAATGTCATTGGTAGCTTGATGGGGATGGCATTGAATCTATAAATTACCTTGGGCAGTATGGCCATTTTCACGATATTGATTCTTCCTACCCATGAGCATGGAATGTTCTTCCATTTGTTTGTATCCTCTTTTATTTCCTTGAGCAGTGGTTTGTAGTTCTCCTTGAAGAGGTCCTTCACGTCCCTTGTAAGTTGGATTCCTAAGTATTTTATTCTCTTTGAAGCAATTGTGAATGGGAGTTCACTCATGATTTGGCTCTCTGTTTGTCTGTTATTGGTATATAAGAATGCTTGTGATTTTTGTACATTGATTTTGTATCCTGAGACTTTGCTGAAGTTGCTTATCAGCTTAAGCAGATTTTGGGCTGAGACAATGGGGTTTTCTAGATATACAATCATGTCATCTGCAAACAGGGACAATTTGACTTCCTCTTTTCCTAATTGAATACCCTTTATTTCCTTTTCCTACCTAATTGCCCTGGCCAGAACTTCCACCACTATGTTGAATAGGAGTGGTGAGAGAGGGCATCCCTGTCTTGTGCCAGTTTTCAAAGGGAATGCTTCCAGTTTTTGCCCATTCAGTATGACATTGGCTGTGGGTTTGTCATAGATAGCTCTTATTATTTTGAGATATGTCCCATCAATACCTAATTTATTGGGAGTTTTTAGCATGAAGGGTTGTTGAATTTTTCCAAAGGCCTTTTCTGCATCTATTGAGATAATCATGTGGTTTTTGTCTTTGGTTCTGTTTATATGCTGGATTACATTTATTGATTTGTGTATATTGAACCAGCCTTGCATCCCAGGGATGACGCCCATTTGATCATGGTGGATAAGCTTTTTGATGTGCTGCTGGATTCGATTTGCCAGTATGTTATTGAGGATTTTTGCATCAGTGTTCATCAAGGATATTGGTCTAAAATTCTCTTTTTTGATTGTGTCTCTGCCCGGCTTTGGTATCAGGATGATGCTGGCCTCATAAAATGAGTTAGGGAGGATTCCCTCTTTTTCTACTGATTGGAATAGTTTCAGAAGCAATGGTACCAGTTCCTCCTTGTACCTCTGGTAGAATTCGGCTGTGAATCCATCTGGTCCTGGACTCTTTTTGGTTGGTAAGCTATTGATTATTGCCACAATTTCAGATCCTGTTATTGGTCTATTCAGAGATTCAACTTCTTCCTGGTTTAGTCTTGGGAGGGTATATGTGTCGAGGAATTTATCCATTTCTTCTAGATTTTCTAGTTTATTTGCGTAGAGGTGTTTGTAGTATTCTCTGATGGTAGTTTGTATTTCTGTGGGATCGGTGGTGATATCCCCTTTATCATTTTTTATTGCATCTATTTGATTCTTCTCTCTTTTTTTCTTCATTAATCTTGCTAGCAGTCTATTAATTTTGTTGATCCTTTCGAAAAACCATCTCCTGGATTCATTAATTTTTTGAAGGGTTTTTTGTGTCTCTATTTCCTTCAGTTCTGCTCTGATTTTAGTTATTTCTTGCCTTCTGCTAGCTGTTGAATGTGTTTGCTCTTGCTTTTCTAGTTCTTTTAATTGTGATGTTAGGGTGTCAATTTTGGATCTTTCCTGTTTTCTCTTGTGGACATTTAGTGCTATAAATTTCCCTCTGTACACTGCTTTGAATGTGTCCCAGAGATTCTGGTATGTTGTGTCTTTGTTCTCATTGGTTTCAAAGAACATCTTTATTTCTGCCTTCATTTCGTTATGTACCCAGTAGACATTCAGGAGCAGGTTGTTCCGTTTCCATATAGTTGAGTGGTTTTGAGTGAGTTTCTTAATCCTGAGTTCTAGTTTGACTGCACTGTGGTCTGAGAGACAGTTTGTTATAATATCTGTTCTTTTACATTTGCTGAGGAGAGCTTTACTTCCAACTATGTGGTCAATTTTGGAATAGATGTGTTGTGGTGCTGAAAAAAATGTATATTCTGTTGATTTGGGGTGGAGAGTTCTGTAGATGTCTACTAGGTCCGCTTGGTGCAGAGCTGAGTTCAATTCCTGGGTATCCTTGTTAACTTTCTGTCTCGTTGATCTGTCTAATGTTGACAGTGGGGTGTAAAAGTCTGCCGTTATTATTGTATGGGAGTCTAAGTCTCTTTGTAGGTCTCTAAGGACTTGCTTTATGAATCTGGGTGCTCCTGTATTGGGTGCATATATATTTAGAATAGTTAGCTCTTCATGTTGAATTGATCCCTTTACCATTATGTAATGGCTTTCTTTGTCTCTTTTTATCTTTGTTTGTTTAAAGTCTGTTTTATCAGAGACTAGGATTGCAACCCCTGCCTTTTTTTGTTTTCCATTGGCTTGGTAGATCTTCCTCCATCCTTTTATTTTGAGCCTATTTGTGTCTCTGCATGTGAGATGGGTTTCCTGAATGCAGCACACTGATGGGTCTTGACTCTTTATCCAATTTGCCAGTCTGTGTCTTTTAATTGGAGCATTTAGTCCATTTACATTTCAAGTTAATATTGTTATATGTGAATTTGATCCTGTCATTATGATGTTAGCTGGTTATTTTGCTCGTTAGTTGATGCAGTTTCTTCCTGGTCTCAATGGTCTTTACATTTTGGCATGATTTTGCAGTGGCTGGTACCAGTTGTTCCTTTCCATGTTTAGTGCTTCCTTCAGGAGCTGTTTTAGGGCCGGCCTGGTGGTGACAAAATCTCTCAGCATTTGTTTGTCTGTAAAGTATTTTATTTCTCCTTCATTTATGAAGCTTAGTTTGGCTGGATATGAAATTCTGGGTTGAAAATTCTTTTCTTTAAGAATGTTGAATATTGGCCCCCACTCTCTTCTGGCTTGTAGAGTTTCTGCCGAGAGATCCGCTGATAGTCTGATGGGCTTCCCTTTGTGGGTAACCCGACCTTTCTCTCTGGCTGCCCTTAACACTTTTTCCTTCATTTCAACTTTGGTGAATCTGACAATTATGTGTCTTGGAGTTGCTCTTCTCGAGGAGTATCTTTGTGGCGTTCTCTGTATTTCCTGAATCTGAATGTTGGCCTGCCTTGCTAGATTGGGGAAGTTCTCCTGGATAATATCCTGCAGAGTGTTTTCCAACTTGGTTCCATTCTCCCCATCACTTTCAGGTACACCAATCAGACGTAGATTTGGTCTTTTCACATAGTCCCATATTTCTTGGAGGCTTTGTTCGTTTCTTTTTATTCTTTTTTCTCTTAACTTCTCTTCTCACTTCATTTCATTCATTTCGTCTTCCATCCCTGATACCCTTTCTTCCAGTTGATTGCATTGGCTCCTGAGGCTTCTGCATTCTTCACGTAGTTCTCAAGCCTTGGCTTTCAGCTCCATCAGCTCCTTTAAGCACTTCTCTGTATTGGTTATTCTAGTTATACATTCGTCTAAATTTTTTTCAAAGTTTTTATCTTCTTTGCCTTTGGTTTGAATTTCCTCCTTTAGCTCAGAGTAGTTTGATCGTCTGAAGCCTTCTTCTCTCAACTCGTCAAAGTCATTCTCCATCCAGCTTTGTTCCGTTGCTGGTGAGGAACTGCGTTCCTTTGGAGGAGGAGAGGCGCTCTGCTTTTTAGAGTTTCCAGTTTTTCTGCTCTGTTTTTTTCCCCATCTTTGTGGTTTTATCTACTTTTGGTCTTTGTTGATGGTGATGTACAGATGGGTTTTTGGTGTGGATGATCTTTCTGTTTGTTAGTTTTCCTTCTAACAGACAGGACCCTCAGCTGCAGGTCTGTTGGAGTTTGCTAGAGGTCCACTCCAGACACTGTTTGCCTGGGTATCAGCAGTGGTGGCTGCAGAACAGTGGATTTTCGTGAACCGCGAATGCTGCCGTCTGATCGTTCCTCTGGAAGTTTTGTCTCAGAGGAGTACCCGGCCGTTTGAGGTGTCAGTCTGCCCCTACTGGGGGGTGCCTCCCAGTTAGGCTGCTCGGGGGTCAGGGGTCAGGGTCCCACTTGAGGAGGCAGTCTGTCCGTTCTCAGATCTCCAGCTACATGCTGGGAGAACCACTGCTCTCTTCAAAGCTGTCAGACAGAGACATTTAAGTCTGCAGAGGTTACTGCTGTCTTTTTGTTTGTCTGTGCCCTGCCCCCAGAGGTGGAGCCCACAGAGGCAGGCAGGCCTCCTTGAGCTGTGGTGGGCTCCACCCAGTTGGAGCTTCCCGGCTGCTTTGTTTACCTAAGCGAGCCTGGGCAATTGCGGGCGCCCCTCCCCCAGCCTCACTGCCACCTTGCAGTTTGATCTCAGACTGCTGTGCTAGCAATCAGTGAGACTCCGTGGGCATAGGACCCTCCGAGCCAGGTGTGGGATATAATCTCCTGGTGTGCCGTTTTTTGAGCCCATCAGAAAAGCGCAGTATTATGGTGGGAGTGACCGGATTTTCCAGGTGCCGTCTGTCGCCCTTTTCTTTGACTAGGAAAGGGAACTCCCTGACCCCGTGCACTTCCCGAGTGAGGCAATGCCTCGCCCTGCTTCGGCTCATGCACGGTGCGCTGCACCCACTGTCCTGCACCCACTGTCTGGCGCTCCCTAGTGAGATGAACCCGGTACCTCAGATGGAAATGCAGAAATCACCCGTCTTCTGCGTCGCTCACGCTGGGAGCTGTAGACTGGAGCTGTTCCTATTCGGCCATCTTGGCTGCCCTCCACCCAACAATTTTATTTTATGTCTTGATATCCATGTATTCTATTAAGTTCTCTAGTGTTGTCTTATTGATGAGTAATGAAGGACTAAAATGAAAAGAAACTGTGAGGCCAGGTGTGGTGGCTCATGCCTGTAATCCCAGCACTTTGGGAGGCTGAGGCGGGTAGATCACCTGAGGTCAGGAGTTCAAAGACCAGCCTGTCCAACATGGTGAAACCTCCTCTCTACTAAAAATACAAAAGTTAGCCGGGCATGGTGGCAGGTGCCTGTAATCCCAGCTACTCGGGAGGCTGAGACAGGAGAATCGCTTGGACCTGGGAGGCGGAGGTTTCAGTGAGCCAAGATCGCACCACTGCACTCTAGCCTTGACAACAAAGAGTGAAACTCCATTTCAAAAATAAAAAAGAAGAGAAAAAGAAAAGAAACTGTGGTTTGCTATATCTTCCCCTCTCCTTCTATGCCATCGTTTTGAATGTTAAATGGCAGGAAGGAAGGAAGGAAATACAAAGGAAGTAACATGAGTACGAAAGGATATGATTAGGTTCCTTGGTTGCTTCTGTTTTTTAGAATGCCATTTCCTTTTTGTATATTCTAAGCAAGTTCTGGTCCAATGGAAAGGGTGGGATCATCGGCTTCAGAGCCCTTGCTTATTCAGTCATAGATGTGACACACTTACCTTGTACTTGCTTTGAATCTCACTGAAATCCCAGAATTCTATGTTGGTTAGGTATTGCAAATATACCTAACATTTGAATGGGGCCCCAAGGAATGGTGGACGTGCATGTTGTACACCTCTTCTCTGCTCATTTGTGTGGTCCATTGTCTCTTTGTACTTCACTTACAAAATACAAGTTCAGAGATAAAATCATTAAGAATGTTAAGATGACACAAGAAGAGTATTAAGCCAAGTGCAGGGCTCTCTTCAATGTGAGTCCCTGTGAGACCACACAGATTGCATGCCCTTGAGGCTGGCCTTGATTAGGGCTGAGGAACACTAATCTTGGAGAATTCACCACTTGTATAACAAACAATAAGCAAGCTCTTTATTTTAAAAGGAGACATTACCTCATTCTTAAAGATTGTTTGCTGCAAATGTAACCCTGAAAAATGGCCTGGGTAGAGAGCTGTCAGTATATTGCATGGTTGGCATAACCAGTAAGAATTTGCAGAGATCCCAAGTCCCATTTCAGATTGCCTTTCTCAACAAAATCATGAGGGCAAATATTTTTCTGTGTGTCAAAAGCGTTGAATTGAAATTTTTCTGCTTGGAAATTCTGTGGTTACTGTAGACCTTTTGTGTCTCCAGCTCATCTTGTGTGTGGTTGGTATAAACAATAACTAAATTTTATGCATACATATTGACTTGTCTGTCCCATTTGTCTGCTGTTTGGATGGAAACTTTAGGAGGTCTGGAGGATAAGGTATCTTGCCTTGGTGAAAGGAAAGATTCCGGCACATATGTGTGTCCCCTTACGGACAATGTGAATGAATATTGGCAACTAGTACTCATCTTATTTCACAGCTTTATTTATACACTGAATTCTGGGTTCTGAAGGGGCAGATATGTATTGATGAGTTGTTTATTGAATACATTTTTATTCAGTTTTAAAAAATTTTGCCAGGCACTGTGCTAAGGTCTGGGGATATAATGGTCATCTAGATAGGCATGCATTCTAGTGGGTGAGGCAGTTAAGTAATAGAGAAATAAATAAACAAAAGCATGTTGTCAATTCTGTGAAGGAAATTTCAAAGGTGCTATGCTAGAAAATAATTGGATAGGAGGAACTCACTTTGGAGAGACGGCCAGGGTAGTTCTCTCTGAAGAGATAGTGTATCTAACATAAAAAGCCAAGGGAAGGGCATTCCAGACAAGGGGAACTGCAGGTACAATGATTGTGATTAAGAAGGAACTTATTCTGTTCTAAGAATTGTTAAATAGTCAATGTAGCTAAAACATGGTAAATGAAGAAGAGAGAAGAGGAAAGATTGAAGAAAGAGAGAGTCTCCACAAAAACCTCCCTAAGAAAGGAGAATGCTCATACACTGTTGGCAGGAGTGTAAATTAGTACAGCCACCATGGAAAACATTATGGACAATCCTCAAAAAACTGAAAATAGAACTACCACGTGATCCAGAAATTCCACTGCGGGTATATATCCAAAAGAAAGGAAATCAATATATCAAGCAGATATCTGCCGTCTCATGTTTATTGCAGCCCTTTTGCCAAGATACAAAATCAACCCAAGTGTCTGTCAAGAGATGAATGAGTAAAGAAAACGTGGTATACATAAACAGTGAAATATTATGCAACCACAAAAAAGAACAAAATCCTGTCATTTGCAGCAACATGGATTGAACTGAAAATCATTATGTTAAATGAAATAAGCCAGGCACAGAAAGGCAAATATTACGTATTCTTATATTTGGAAGCTAGAAAAAAGTGGATTTCATGGAGACAGAGTAGGTTGGTATTTACCAGAGTCTGAGAAGTGTAAGAGGAAAGAGGGGTAAAGAGAGGGTGATTAAGTAGCATACAAATGCAGTTAGAAGTCATAAGACCTAGTGTTTGATAGTATAGTAGAGTGACTGTAGTTAACAATAATGTATTGCATATTTCAAAATAGCTAGAAGAGAAGAATTAAAATGCCCCCAACATAAAGGAAAGATAAATGCTTGAGGCAATGGAAAGACCAGTAATCCTGATTTGATAATTAAACATTATATATGTATCAAAAATATCACATGTACCACAAAATATGTATAACTATTAATCATTAACTAAAAAATCTACTCTGTGTTATAACCCCCCCTCTCAAAAACAAACAACTTTTTATGGGTCTTATTACAGGGTTACCCTTTGTGGTGGCTTTATGGTGTCCCTCTGTCTCTTTCTCCCTCCTTCTCTCCCTCCCTGTCTCTCCTAGATTTCATTGGGTGTGACAGTGGCTTAGGCTCAGCTCTGTCTTTAAGAATCATCCCAGTGTAGTAAAGGATATGAAATCACTGAGGCTCTCACCACAGAGTGTATGCTGTATCTGTAAACTAAATAGAATCATTAACTCTGAATTGGAGGGGCTGGCATTCAGGAGGCTTCCTGGAGGTTTTTGTTCATTGGAAACATGCACCAGAACACTGCTATAAAGCTTTGGCATGTGTGTCAGCCTAACTGAAAACTTTCTGTAGGTTTAAAGTGAGAAGAAGAGAGTCTCTTATTGCATATTGTCAACATGGATAGAGATATAGAAAAGCAGATGCCAAGAAAATATTTTCTTGGTCAAGATAGCCAAGTATTATAAGATAAATGGGAGGACAGTGATATGACCATACTAGAAAGGATATTATTTTGTATGATATAAAATATCACATTTCTTTTAAGAAGCATAATCTAGATAATTTTTCTAATCATTTTATAATATGTTTCTGTCATGTCCTCCTCTGATCCCATTTTCCATCTTATAAATGCTCCCTTTCTTTAGGATCGCTTATCCTGTCTTGTGTTGACCTAATTTTGTGGCTAATTGCCACATGGAACCTAAAATGCTGCTGCTGTCTGGGTCTGAAGTGCTGTCAGTTACACATCATATTTTATGTAAAAATCTACAATGAAGACTAGCAATTATTTCAAGTAAAATCATTGGCTTTTCACTAAAATGTGGGGTATAGATAAAATCTAGGACAACCTCAATGGCTAATAGAGGTGAGGAAGGGATTTTGAGAAAAAAGGAACAACTTCCTCAACATTGCCTTAATATTGCTAGAGGTATTTATGGTCTTTCGTGTGTGTGAGAGACTCAGGTTCTTTGGATCAATAGTTGTGTGTGTGAGAGACTCAGGTTCTTTGGATCAATAGTTGGTGGAGGTCCCTTCTCCTGAAAATGCATCCCAGCTTAGAACAGGTTCATTTTTCATATCCTTACACAGTAGGCTCTGATATAACCTTTTAAGGGCGTGACTGAGTGTGAAAATGCTTTTCCTCACCCATGAGTTTATAAATCTTACCCAGCAGTAGTATAAAATGAAAAAAATCTGAAAACTTTAAAAATCCCTGATGGAAGAGCATACTTATGATTTGAATGTTTTATATTTCTTAAGACTTATATTGTGGACCAAAATATGGTAGATGTTCTGGGTGCATTTGAAAAATACATGTATTCTGCTGTTGTAAGTTGGAGTGTTCCATAAATGTTAATCAGGTCAAGTTGCTTCATTGTGTTGTTCAAGTCTTCTATATCCTTCGTGATTTTGTATCCACTTGGTCTGTCAGTTTTTCAAAGAGCATATAGAAATCTCCAGTTGTAATTGTGAATGTGTCTATTTCTCTTTGCAGTGCTATCAGTTTTTGTATCATGTATTTTGAAGCTGTATTATTAGGTGCAGAAATATGTCAGATGATTATGTCCTTTTGATAAGTTGATCCATTTATAATTATGGATTTATTTTCTAATGGCTGTTAATTGTCTTTTCTTTGAATAATACTTTGTCTGAATATAGCCATTCTAGTTTTCTTTTGGTTAGTGTTATCATGGTGTATAGTTTTTTAGTCTTTTTCTCTTAAACTATGTGTGTCTTTATATTTAAAATGAAGTTTTGTAGGCGGCATGTAGTTGGGTATTGCTATTGTATCCAATCTGACAGTCTCTGGATTTTAAATTGTGTTATCAGACCATTTATATTTACATTTAATGTGGTTGTTGATATAGATAGGTTCACACCTATCATTTTGTTATTTTCTATCTGTTTATTCTTCATTCCTCATTTTCTTTTTTTTTCCTGCCTTCTTTTTGGATTAATTCATCCTATTCTATCTCCTTTGGTGGCTTATGAGCTATAACTCTTAGCTTTGTTAATTTAGTGGTTACTTTAAGGCTTATAGTTACATATTTAACTTTTACTTTCAAGTGATATTATACCACCTCACATATAGTGTGTTTGGGGTTGTATGCTTCTGTTTCTTTGACACATTTGTTTTCGGATGTTTTACTTATAAATATGTTATAAACTCAATCTCGTATATTTATCCGTGTAGTTACCGTTTCCAGCGTTCTTTCTTCCTTTGTTTAAAGCCGTTTCCACCTTTTATCCTTTTTCTTCTGCCTGAAGAAAGTGCCTGATTTTCCTGCCTTCTTCCTTTAACATTTCTTGTGGTGTGGGTTTACTGATGATGATTTTTCTGCTTTTATATGCTTGAAAAATTCCTTATTTCACCTTCATATTTAAAGTATACTTTGGCTAGATATAAAAAAATAGATTGACAGATTTTTTTTCCAGTATCTAAACATTGTGCTCCACTCTCTATTCACTGCAATGTTTCCGACAAGAAATCTGCTGTCACCATGATTGTTGCTCCCCTCTGCTTAGCATGCTCCCCTCTGCTCTCCCTCCCACTTCCCTCCCTCCAGCTGTTTTGATGATTTCCTTTTTATCACTGCTTTTGGGCCATTTGATAATAGTGTATCATGGTGTAGTTTTCTTCATATTTCGTATGTTTTTGTGGTTAGTTGGAATTATCGGATCTGTGAGTTTATAGTTTTCACTAAATTTAGAAACTTTCCATTATTTCTTCACGTACATTTTTTCTGTTCCTATCACCCACTCACTGACTTTGAGGTTAAGGTAAGCAATGATTTAGGTGGAAATCTACCATTACTTTGTCTGGCCCGTTAGTTCTGACCTAGAACCCCACCCATACTTTTGTAAATTAAAATGTTTCTTTTTTTCCACTGAGAAATCATTTGTCAATATTACCAATTTCCAGTGCTCTTGCAGCTGCCTTTCTCATTCTGAGATTTCTTGTGCATTTTGGTAAGCAAATCAAGGGTACGGAATTCAGTGCTACCATCTGCCTTACATTTTAACTCTTTGGTCTTAACTTAGAAGAACATTTTTATAATTTTTCCTGTGCTCTGATGTTGTTTCATTTAAACCTGGAATGACGCAGTTGTTACTTTTGAATCTTAATGACCTGTGTGATGTGGAGCTAAATTTAGAAGGCTGGAGTAGGGAAAGTGGGAGTAGATTTGCTATCCATTGGATTCTAATACGATAAAATACAGTTTTCTTTCCTCAAATTTAAAATGCCCGATTTTAATCTCATAAATATCTATGCCTTCCGAGTTATGTGATAAAATTAAACTAAACTCTAGTAAACATCATTCTATATGCTGCAATATGAATAAGATATCAGTTATTTAGGAGTGGGAGTCACTAATATGTACATGGCAATTTCTGATTAACACTGACAGTATCAGAGCTGTTTTCACATTAGATTAAAATAGTAATTTAGCTGCTTAGTAAATGATTGAATGCCAAGAGTGTTATATAATCTGTTCACTAGGAATTAGTAAATGTTGCCAAGTATGAATGATTCATTTCCTTAATAACACAGGAAGTACCAGGCTATAAGTTTCCATTAAGGAGGTTTGGTCAGGACTGGACTCAGCACTGGCACAGAGGCAGCACAGCTATGTGGGAAGAACACAGGCTGGTCTGCAGGTGTCTAGATTTGGATCCTAGCTCTGTTACTTACTACTTTGTGACTTTGAGCAAATTCACGTCTCTGAAAGGTCAGTTTTCCTTCTGTAAAATATCCCAACTTCTGTTGTAGAATTATTATTATAAATAAATAGTAACATATATATAATAGTAACATATATAAATAGTAACATATATGTATATATATGTGTGTGTATATATATGTGTATCTATATATGTGTGTGTGTATATATATATATATATATGTATATAATGTCTACCTGTATTGTTGCTAGGGGCTGCCCTGGACTATGTTTATTACTTTCTGTTGTACCTAAGATGGCATTTTTTGTCCTCAAAAAAAAAAAAAAAAATAGTACTCTTTAGGGAGAGACCGGAAAAAAATGGTGAGTACTGTCTTTGTTCCAGGATTTTACAGGGAAAGATGAGGCAGCTTTATATTATATTGTAGTCAGTTTAAAATTTTTCTATTGTTTGTTTCAATGATGAAAAAATCCAAAGAAAAAACCTAGAAAGAAAAATCAATAGCTTTGTACAAATATAGTATGACAATTGAGAACAACTGGTTTTGCTGTTAAATGTGTCTTAAACTAGGAAACTCAGGGTTTTGTCAAATGGTATCAGAATGAGAAACAGACTTAATTTTCTTTTTGGGTCCAATGGCTACATATGTTCTTCAACAGTTGGAAAGCCACTGTATCCAGGTGAAGTAATTTTGCTCAGGAATTAATTGAAGATCACGGAGGTACTGTGAAACCAAGATATAGAAGAGTCAGTTTCAAATGGTCTTTTTTAGTGAACAACAACAGCAAAATCTGACAACTACCAAAAAAATTGAGATGGCTGTAGCCTGTGGTAGGGAGAGCAAACAGGATGGATGAGCAAAACCACAGTAGTTTGAGTTTTATGTGAAGGTGATGATAAATAAGGAATATTAATCTCTATTTTCAGAGAAGCCCTCTCATCTCATGTTTGTTCATGGGTACATTGTTGTTCCCAAAGACTGCCCGTTATTACTTTGTTATTACAATCATGTAGTGTATACAGTGGTAGTACTACTATGTGCACTGTGTTTTTGTGCATAATAGGCTTTTAATTTGTTCTTTCAATAAATATTCATTGGATACCTGTTATGAGTTAGGGGCTGACAGTACAATGGCAAAGAGGCAGACAAAAATCCCTGCCCTCATGAGGCTTAGATTAGAGTAGAAGAAAGCAGACAATAAACAAATTAAGAAAAGATTTAGTATGCTGGAAGATAATAAATGGCATGGAGGAAAATAAAGCAGGACAAAGGGATAATGTGTGTGTGTGTTTGGGGGGATGGCTCATTCATTGAGGAGGTCATATTAGAGCAAACATCTGAAGGAGGTCTGTG
Organism: Homo sapiens; assembly: GCF_000001405.40. NCBI lineage: Eukaryota > Metazoa > Chordata > Mammalia > Primates > Hominidae > Homo > Homo sapiens. The sequence continues at coordinate 21,222,602 of NC_000002.12, forward strand.
AGTTAGTTATAGTGAGTGTCTGGAAAAGGTGGAGGCTTCGATATAGAGAGACCAGCAAGTGTACAGGCTTTGCATGGGCTTTTGAGTGGTCTCTCGTGTTTGAATAATAGCAAGGAGGCTAGTGTTCCTGGAGCAGAGTGAGTGAGGGGAGAGGAAGAGATGTCAGAGATCACAGGGGGTCAGATCATAAAGACCTTCTAAGCCTCTTCTAAGTTCGTTACTTGGAGCAAAATAGGAAGCCAACACAGGGCTTTGAGAGAAGACTGATATGATTTGACCTATTTTTAAAGGTTCAGTGTAGCTTCTGTACTGAGAGTAAAATATAAGGGGGCTAGAGAGGAAACACAAAGACTAATAATCCATTAAACAGAGCTAAGTTAGTGGGTTGCTCACTTGCTTCCTTATAAATGTTGTGCCAGAGAGAAGATTAGTGGCAAATACCCATTAAACCTCTGTGAGATTGGAAGGGTTGGCTTCCTCGAGGGGAACGTGAGTTTCTTTTGGCAGATAAGGAAATACTCCTCGGTGATACAGAGGCGTCCTTTCTCTTATTAGTGGTGACTTGGTGACAGGAAAGTGAAGTTGCAGGCTCTGGCCCACCTGAATGTTTCAGATCTATTTCTGGAAAACAGGTATTAGGAGGTATGCAAGGAGCCTCTTTCTATTATTTCAACTTAAAAGTTCCCTAATTGGATTGAGTTCAAGTTCTGTGTCATGGTTCTGTTTTGCTGGGAGAAGCTAATAAAGAAGGAAGCTGCGGATTCTTCGTTGTAGGACAAATGGAGTGCAGCAATTAGGCAGTACTGTCCCTCCACTGGACAAAAGCCTTAAGCAGCTCAGGCAAACACCAAACAAAAACCTGTCACATGCACACAGATGTAGATGCCTGGTGAAATCTTAGAAAATGTATTCACATTTATTCTCTGGCAGTAATATTCTTTTCACAAAGCATTCCACACTATGATAGCTGTATCATTAGTCTGATAATCTCAAGTTAATTCTCTGTTGCTTTTTATATGGTGTGCTCAGTGTATTGGTTTAGAGAAAAAGGCTGAAGAGCTTAAAGAGATTGGTCTAAGAAATTGCAGGTTAGCTGGGAAAGGAGAATAGACTACCGTTAGAAAAACGTATAGTTAAATCCAAAGGGAGCGATTGTCTTTGGATAAATGGATTTCTACACGTGTTCAGTAGATGGTGAGTAATTCCCACGTGTTCCACCCTGTGCTAGATACATGGGAATTCAACAGGGTGTCTGCCCCAGAGATGCTAATATCTCTTAGGAGAGATGATTACATTGACACATGACACCATATGAACAATTTTCTGTCCAACCTATGGGTGGTATGGGTGGGGGGATTCTTAATGAGTCTTTCCCCTAACAATTAGCCATATATCTTTACAGTGGAGACCAGATATAAAGAAACAGTAAACACAGCAATTCAAAATTCAATACTAGCCATTCCTTTATGTCTAATATCAGATGACCCCTTCAGAGCATTTTGTCTTATAATATTCTGCACCTATAGTTTTGTTTTCTACTTCTCAATCAAGTAGCTAATAAATATCAGGGTACCATCTAGCTGTCTTAAAATGCTATAGCTTCTTTCTTAATCATTCCACATTATTGAATATTGGTTGGTATATAACTTAGCATAGAACTGGTGGTTTTGTTAAGCACAAAATTTCAGTGGCTTAAAGAATGCAATGAAAGTCTATTTCTTGCTCATTTAAAGGTCTGGTGCAAATGTTCGTGGTTTCCAGGTAACTTTCTTCCATGTGGTGATTCAGGAACCTAGGATGTTTCCACTTGAGGCTCTACTGCCCCCTCAGGTCTTGGAGTCTTCTGTGTTCAGTCAGCGGACGGAAAAAGAGAGTAGAGAATAGATAGTTCCTACCTGAGCAGTCACTTCCTCTTCTATGGGAAGAAAGCACTTAGCTGATCTTTGTATGTATGATTTCTATTTTTTGTAAGTTGCCAATGGCAGTACTTTTAAATAGCTTTGCACAAATGGATTTTTTTTCTATTTTAGATTAATGTATTTGAGATGTATTTCTAGAAGTAAGTGTATTAGATAGGTTTTAATTATAAAATTATATTGAATTATATTTTATTTAATACATCAATTAAAATCATAATTTATATACCTGTAAAGTTATTGGATATGAACCATCTCACTTCATTATTGTTCAGGCTCAGCTGAAGAATATCTTTGCTAGCCTATATCCAGGATAATGAATACCATGAGAAAACAGCCATATTATATTGTCATATTTAACTGAAGAAAACGCTATTGCTACTATACTTTATTCAACTCAAAACATGAGTTACCTAATTTAACAAAAGAGATACACATACTGATAGACTAAAATGATTTTACCAGTATATGTGATTTGAAAAGAAAATTAGAACATATGTCTAATAGTCTTTACATTCCTTTTGTTTATTTATAGACAGAAGAAGAAAGATATGATTTCAGGCTTCTTAATTTAGACTGAATCTGCCCCAAAGCAGGAAACATTCTTCCTACACACATTAAAAGTTACTATTTGGAGGCCGGGCGCGGTGGCTCACGCCTATAATCTCAGCACTTTGGGAAGCCAAGGCAGGCGGATCACGAGGTCAGGAGATCGAGACCATCCTGGCTAACACGGTGAAACCCCGTCTCTGCTAAAAATACAAAAATAAATTAGCCGGGCGTGGTGGCAGGCGCCTGTAGTCCCAGCTACTCGGGGGGCTGAGGCAGGAGAATGGCGTGAACCTGGGAGGCGGAGCTTGCAGTGAGTCGAGACCGCGCCACAGCACTACAGCCTGGGCGACAGAGCAAGACTCCATCTCAAAAAAAAAAAAAAAAAAAAAAGAGTTACTATTTGGAAAAGGTAATCCTTTTCATAACTTGAGATGAAACCAGATATGTGAATGAAGTTGAGCAGATCACCAATATGAGGGATTTTCATTTTGTTTTGTTTTGGTATTTCTGGCATAATTAAAACAAGACTAAAGGCTGAGACTGGGATCTATTTTGTGTTAACTAAGATAATAAAAAAAAACATTGCTTTATAGTAAAAATTAAGAAGTTTGCATAAGAAACGATGGGGTTGGAAAAATTTCTACCAGAATTATTTTGGGGAAAAACACCCCAAACATCTCAAATATTTGTAGAACTCATTCCAATTTATAAAGCTCTCTCTACTTTGACAAGCTATATCATTAAATAACTACAGGTGGAAAGCATATGGAAAAATGTTCTCATTTGTTAGTTATAAAATGTTTTCATTGAATTAGCAACCCTCCACAAATTTGGTAGGGCCCAGAGAATTCAGAGACACTCTTGAATTACTGGGGGGTGTTGTAGAGTAGTACTGACTGAAGATGTTCCCAGCACATAGCTAAGTGCCTGACATGCACTGTGCTACCTGTGAACAATGGATCTCATCCTCACAGTATCTGCAGGGCCCTTGAGGGCTGCCACATGGCAATCAACAATCCATCATGGCTGCTTCCTGCATGACTTGATGTGGCGTCTGATGAACATGAGCCTTGACAAACTTCTCTCACTCTGTTCAGATTGCTGCCCATCTGCCAAGACCTCCGGGTCTGGGACTGCACTCCACTTAGGTCTCTGTTTCTGGCGTTCCTCACATTTATGTATTTATTTTTCCCGTCATTAATATTTCTTTTTAAATAAAGTAGACTATTTTACTGCTTCTTGAATAGTATAGTATTCTTCTTTTAAGTTATGGCATCTTTTTGTAAATACTATGTGGTTCTGTTTTGCTTTGTACACTCATTCTTGATTAAAATGATATTTTTTTCAAGATCTAACATTTGCTAATACCCAGGTTGAATGATTTTTCCTAGTTCTCACTACTTACTTGTTCTCTTTTAAAGTCATCTTTAAGATAATTTTTCAAAGTTGAAAAAAATTAATACATACGCTAATAAGTAATTAAATTAGAACAAGAAGATCTGTCTGCTTGATGCCCACATCCACCATTTACTAGCTGCATAAATCTGAGCAAATTACTTAACTTTTTTAACAATCTGGGAAATAGGGATGAAAATATTCATTTCATAGTGGGTTGTGAAGATCAATGTTAAAGTCATATAAGAACGTGCTTTACAAATGGTAAATTGCTATATATAGATGTTAATTATTATTGTCAATAATGGAAGATATATTAGCACTTTTTCCTACCATATTTTGGGATGGAGAGTGGGGAGATAGTTTCAGCTACTTAATGTCTATTTGTTTATTTATTTATTTAAACTCAAGTCAGAATTTTTCTGAGAACTATGGAAAACTTGAATATACATGAAGGAGAAACCTTTGAACCTTGTGGTGAAAAAGTGAGAGGAGGCAGTGGCAGAGAAATAAATGGAGAAGATCTTTTATTAAGAAATTGGCTTCTCAAGCCACACTTACTTACAGTTCTTTGTATATCTTTCCAGAACTATTCCATTCACTGTGAACTATGTGTGAATCGCTTTTGAAAGAGTCAGACACAAATGCAAGCATACCATATGCTCTACTGCACTTTATGCACTGGACAATATCTATTTGAAATCACTTTCCATTCATAGGAATCTGCTTCATTCCTTTTTAAAATTATTATTTAAATACATTCAATTGTGTATATTTAAGGTATACAACATGATGTTATAAGTTACATACAGGCAGTAAAATGATAACTATAGAGAAACAAATTAACATATCCATCATCTCACATAGTTATCCATTTTTGTGGTAAGGGCAGCTAAAATCTAATCAATTTGCAAAAATCCCAGATACAATTTTATTAATTGTAGTTCTCCTTTTGTTTATTAGATCTCTAGATTTGCTCATCTTACATATCTGCTGCTTTGTATCTTCTGACCTACGTCTTTCCATTTCCTCTCCAACCCTTCACCCCTGGTAACCACTGTTTAATTCTCTATTTCTGTATATTTAGCTTTTTAAAGATATATTCCACATATGAGTGAAATCATGCAATATTTTTCTTTTAATAGTTTCATGACATTCTTTTATGTGGATATAAATATAGTTTATAAAAAACAGCCTACTTGATATATTATTAAACATTTTTTATATTATTAGCACTGCTGCAATGAGTACCATATACCTTAGCTTGTATCTACCAATATAGAAATACGATAAATACCCAGAAATGCTGAATTAAAGTGCCTGGGTGTTTTACATTACGACATGTGTTGCCAAATTGCCTTTATTTACTTTCATTTTATAGAAATTAGAACTTTGTTACATATATTGCAGTTTTTCATTTTTCAATTTGTCCTGTAATTCTGTTTATATTTTTTCATTTAGAATTTTAAAATATTTGTATATAGTTACATTTCTTGATTTATTTTCTTTTATGATTTTCAGGGTTTTGGTTAATCTACTCCAAAATGTTTTGTTTTTATCATTTTACAGTATCATTTTCTAAATCTTTAAATCTTTATTTACTGGTTTTCATAATGCGCTATAGTTATGTAACGTGTCACTATTGGGGGAAATTGAGCGGTGGGTATAGAGGACATCTCTGTATAATTTTTGTAATTTCTCGTGAGTCTATAATTATTTCAAAATAATACATTAAAAGGTAATAAGGTAAAGTAAAAGGTGAAAAGCATTCTAGTTTAGACGTGCCAAAGGAAAATTCAGCAACCCTTGCCTTCTATAAGTGCTCAAAGAAGACAACCCTTTTGTTTTGAGTGCCAGTGGGATCTGCTGGGTTTTCCAGTAGCATGCTCTGCAGTAGTGTGATAACAACAGAAAATAGCAGCCACTGTGCATCTGGGTAGCACTACTACTAATTTTCTTATTCATATACCATTTCACAACTTCCCAGCCTCTTTACATAAATATTGTCATGTAATTCTCTTAACAGCCTTGTGGAGGTCAGTGTTAGTATTTGTGCTGTATGTATGTGGAAACGAACTCACGGAAGCTGAGTGACTTGTGTGTGGTTCCAGGTATTTTCAAGCAACAGAGTTGAGGCCCTCCCCGAGGTGGGGCTGCTTCTGATATGATACCACAGTGGCCTTTGGCCTTTGGTGACTCTTTATTTTAGGGCAGGAAACGACTCTGCTCTCTGCAGTACACAGCTGGTTGACCTGATAGCAGCTGCACAGGCCCTGCTGAGAGGATTGCCATAGGATGAAAAGTGTGGGGGGAAGGATTGCAGAGACAGAGAAGGACATGGCCAAGAGGCGGAGTTGCTGTGACCCTTGTTAACATGACTGAACTGCAGTCAATCATTTGAATACCTACTTTGTCCAAGATTTATGCTTAGCATTTAATATATATTATTTTATGTGTGCTTGATAAACTGTTTTTAATCTCCATCTTGTAATTGAGGAAACCAAAGCTTAGAAATAGTAAGCAATATACCCAAAGAACATGGCTAGATGGTGGCTGAACTCAGATCAGAACTCTGGCCTTCCTGATTCTTGTAGGTTCAGAGAGAAAGGCATGAGTAAAATAGGAATAGATAGGTTTATAGATCCTTTTGCTTCCTTTCCAGGAAACTTGACTACATTATTTTATTAACTTGCATGTGACAAATGAGATCTGAAGAAACTTTTCTTAGGAGTTATCACTTTCTCCCCAGAAAGACACAGTGGTCCTATTGCTACCACCTTTTCTCTTGCCCTCACTCCAGCCAGGCAGCAGGCTCTACACACTGTGCTTGCTGCTGTTGATTGCCTTTGGCCATACATGCTTAGAGCTGTGACAGTGCTACATGCATTTTACAAGGCCTTGTTTTCTGAATTTCAGCCTCCTATCCTTCTTGTTTTTATAGATGATGACTGTATTTTAATGGAATCTGAGAGAGTAGACTGAAGAAGTGCCAAGCCTGCAATTAGGCGCAATAGTTTAGTGACCTCTCCTGTGCAAGAATTGTAAGGCTCTGGAGGATAGGGGCCTCTTGTAAAATAATGCATTCAGATTCAACAGACATTTACTAATAAGCATTGCAATGTGGTAAACCCAGTGCTAAGCTCTTTATATCTGTAATCTTTGCAACAGTCCTGCAGTGGAGGTATTATTTTCATTTTGCAGATGAGGAAAGTCTGAGTGCATATGACTGTCCTAAGATCGCATCTCTTGTCACTGACAGGGATAGGATTTTGACTCAGATCTATCTGATCCCAAGGTCAGCTCCCTTCACAGAACTGGGGGGTGAATCCTTGGATGTGCAGGGATACTTACTAATTGTAGGTGCTTTAATTATTTTAATCTGGGAGTTTTCCTTTGCTGAATCCTGATTACCTAAAATGCACGGCCACTGATGAAGATCATCTTTTCAGCTACATGGTATGTTGCCCATTGGTGTCTGAGCAATTTTTCTTCCTTTTAAAATATCTGCTTGTTATTGCCACGGTTCCTAGGCCATCCATGCTCACTGCACTCCCCTTGTTTCCTCCTACATCTCTAGCTGGTAATTTTCAGTCTTATTTGCAAGTTCTTTAACCTCATTGGGGTCCTTTCAGTGTTGAGGCTTCTCCGGGTTTTGTTTTGGACCTTCTCTTCCACTCTACACACTCCCTTTCACCATCACACTCCCCTGGCAATCTTCTTCATTTCAATTACACCTGTAAGTGACAGTGTTCACAACTATTCATCTAGACCCTATGTTTCTTTTGGGCTCCAGATCTATGTATTATTCAGAATCTCATTGGGATGTGCCATAGACGATTCAAATAGCCCATATCCTTTCCCTACTTCTATGATTGCATCATTCTTGAATCCTTCTTCTTACATTCAACCAATCACCATGTCCTAGTGATTCTACTAAATATTTAGCAAAACCATTTTTATTCTAACTTTACTGCCAACCCCAGAGCAGGCTGCTACCATCTCTGTCCTAATTTTTCATGCCTCCAGACTATCTCCTCTTTGAATTCATCTCCATACTACTGACAGAATGTTTTTTTGTTTTCAAAAACCTAATTATGCTTATTCTCTGTTTAAAGATTTTGCGATAACTTTACATCTCTCTCAAAGTGAAGTCAAGTTCTTAATATAACCTACAAGGCCCTCAGTGTCTGGCCTCCTGTCTCACTTTGTTATTTTCATCCTTTCCCTCTTCCTCTAAACCAGCTACTAATGTTTTCTGACCTCTTGGTAGTCTGGGATAGGGTCCCTTCTCTGGGTCTTGCTTTCCTTTTTAATAGCATTTATCATATGGAATTATAACTTTTTACGTGACTGCATTCCCCCACCAGACTGTAAGCTGCTAAAGGTCAGAGACTCTATCTTGTTCACACCTATCCCCAACCAAGCACAGTGACTGGCACATTGCACGTACTCGATAAACATGTATTGAAGTTCCTTTTTATAGCCCTTAGCCCAGTACTGTGTAAAATCAGGCACACAGTGATTTGTTTCTATTTGGAATCTGTAATGAAAATATCAGAAGATTCAGTCATGTAGAAAACAAGAAAACCTCTCTATTTAACAGTATTTTTCTCCTGTTTATTACATTTCCTTAGTGAAATATAGGTGGTGCGATAAAAATAATTATTATATCACATAAAGTGCAGCATCTAGCCCACCTTTACCGTACTTTAATCTTGAAATTTCTTGCAGATCAGTCTGAATTTTATATTAAAGAAAATTCAGAAGATCAAGAACAAGTGACTTATTTAAACTGCAGAAATTGATTTCAAAGAAATGATATTATAAATTTAGCAAGAAGTAAAGCATCAAATGACTTAACTGATTTACCTTAACTGATTAAAATATGCTCAGAGCATGACTTCTTAATATACGGGTCAAATATCATAGGGAGAGTTTTCAGTGTTCATGAGAAATATGACTAGAAATTAAAATCACCTTTTTCAAATTAAAAAAAATGCACGCTGCCACTGTAGCACAGGAGATGAGAGTCATCAGCCAGGTACAAGTGTTGTGAGCATCTGTTTATGGAGAGAGGGAGGATGTAGGGCAAAGGTTAATGATGTTCTTTGGGCCCAGGAAGAAACCTCATAACTGGATGGTGCCTTGATTTCTCTTTGTCTATCTCAGGTTTATTGCAAGCATCAATGAAAGGACAATTGGGAAGAAAGGCACAGAGCATTAATTAATCTAGAATGCAGATTAAGAAAACTCAGGAAAATATAGTCCAGTTTTGAGCATAGCTGGAATTGGGGGGTAGTTGTAAGATTTGCTTCAGTATTATTATGGTGCTTTTAAAGTAGAAATCAGCAGATTTGAATTATTTCCACCTAATTGTGAAGAACCCCCTTTTGGGTTAAAGTGATTGAGTAAAAAGAGGTAGAAATGTGATGTGTTATGCAACAGTTGAATCCTAGAGCTGTTCAATGGTGTGACAAATGAATAAAGGAGTGGGGGAATTGGGCCACTGGCAATGGAAGCCCCCTGAGCAGCTACTTGTAGGGTGACTAGGACCCTGTCTTGGGACCCTGTCTTGAGACAGATACAAAGGATAGGGTAGGGTAAGTTGAAGGATGAATAATAGAACAGCAAATAAAGTGGAGTAGGAGAAGGACTTTTGGTCACAGAAGATTCAAATAGCCTTCAGGTTCCTCTTTCTCTTCCTGTTTTCTTTTCTTTTTTTTTTGACTGGCCCAGTGACTTTTGGAGTCACACACACTAGCACAGAACCTTTGCCATCTCCCAGACACTTGCAAACAGAAACAGTTGTATTTCCAACCTGCTTCCTGCACTTATCTAAACTTTGAAAGCTCTGTGTAGTATATGTCAGTATCATGATGCCAATTTGACAGATGAAGAGAGGGGCTCAGGGAGGCTAATGTGACTTGCCCAAGGTCACTTAGTGATTTGTGTCAGAACAGGGACTGCCACCTCTGTCTCCTTCCCCTGCTGCTTTGTGAAGCCACATGCTGGTGGAATATGTGACCATTATGTACTATGTGTTAGTAGGATTGATACTGCCCTTCATAACCCCAGGATCCCAGCCAGAGTTTTTGACAGCTTTTGGTCAGGTGGAAAACTGGGAGGAAGATCTAAACAATTTGTTTGCCTTTCTCTTCGATTATTTTTGGGAGAGATTTTGTTGTGCTTCCCAAGGAGGCTATTTTCCATTATAAATGATGCTGCTTACAATAAGACTAAAAGCTTCATTAAGCTAAAAAAAAGAGGAAAAGGAAACAAAGTAGCTCACATATCAGTATTGCATGGAAGCAGTTCTGAAGAATACATTAAAGATAATGAGTATTAGGCTACTTAAATTATTTACAAGACTTCAAAAATTATAATATGTTGTCTGGAAATAGAAGTTGGTTCTCTGCCACATTCTAGTCAGTTTCCTAGACTGTAGAATGATTGGGTATTTTCTCTGGGACCCCCACACTCAGGTCTAAAGGGGGTCCCTAAATGATTTTAGCTGAGGTAAAATGAATGGGCTTCAGTAAAATCCCACGTACTTGTGTGGAGGGTCCAGCCTTGTCCCCTACCACACTTTCCCCTTTTCTCTTAGAAGTCATCAGCTCTGTACCATTCTAAACTTACTCTGAGGATTGAAGGGCTCATACCTCCTGTAGGCAAAGATGAAGTCAAAAGAATGATTATTTAATGGCAGAGTTTTAGGCCGTGCTCTACCTAGATCTATAATTCAACCTAGGTATGAAGGATCATCGAGTTGCCATTCCTCTTCTGTATGATTTGCTTCAGAAATAATTTTCACACCTGTCACTCTTGTCTGGGTCAGAGAGTTGCAGCCAAGATCACATTTTAAAATCCTCCTGAAGAGTACAGTATAGAGGAAGAGGGCTAATCTGGGAGTCAGGAGACTTCCCTTGTCTCATTAACATTAGTAACTCACCACGTAGCTTTAAGGAAGTCTAGTCTTCTTTCTGGACATCAGTTTCTACATCTGTAAAATGAGTTTTATACCATGTTGGAAAGGATTGTTGGATTAGATTAACTATTAGGTTCATTCCGTGGAGCTTTGGTATAGAAACATGGGACTTTATTAAGATATATTTCAAATGTACAGAATTGTGTCCTTGAGGATAATAAACAACCATTACCAATATTAAAATGTTGCCATCTTTGCATCTGATTTTAATGTAACAAAAACTTTTGCTTGAAGCTGGAGGATGCTGGGCACCCACATCTGATCTCATTGTACATCCTTCTTTCTTCCCTTTCTGAAGGTAATTACTATTTTAAATTTTGTGTTTAGTATGACTGTACATGGGTTTCACAGTTTTCAAAATATGTATATATTCCTAAACAATACATAGGATTGTTTTTCATGTTTTCCAACTTTACGTAAATGACATTATATTGACATACTATTCTGCAACTTGCTTTTTTGCTCAATATTCTTGCATGTATTATGATTTTTATTATTGTAGAGCTACTTCATTTCTTTTATAATGACTACTACGGTATATGATATTTCATTGCACAAACATACACAATTTATACAGCCATTCTTTTACTGATATACATTTGCATTGTTTTTAATTTTTCACGATTCCAAACAATACTGCAATAAACATTCTTCTGTAGCAGTCTCTCTTACTGCATGTATGTGAGTGTTCTCTACATATAAAGCTGGAGGTGGAAATTGAGTAATTGGTTGTGTATATCATCAGCTTTACCAGAGTTACATAATACTCGAAAGTAATCACTTAAAACTCTGACAAATAGTATGTAAGATTTCTGGTTTCTTTTCGTCATTGCAAACACTTGACATTGACTTGCTGCTTTTGCCAATCTGTTGTACTTAAAATTATTTCTAATTTTTGTAATTTATGTTTCCCAGAAGACTTAGAAATGAAGTTGAAACTGTGGTTGAGCATTTTTCCATATTTTTATCGGTCTTTTGGCTTTCCTGTTCTATAAGAAATCTATTGGTATCCTCTACTATTTTCTTTACTGGATTGTTTGCATTTTTAATATTGCTTTGTATGGGTTCTTTATACATTGTGGATATATATTTCACAGTAGCATGTGTTGAATGCTTCTGCTAGTCTGTAGCTTTTTTTAATCTTTGTGACATTTTTGTTTTTAATTTAATCGGTGTGACAGATTGTATTTTCCAAAGATAGCCACAAGGGTGTCTGCTGTCCAACAGACTCTTCTAGAACTTTGCCACTCCCTCAAAAGATGGAACCTATGTCTCTTACACAGAAAATTGGGAGAGACCCTGTGACTGCCTTGACCAGTACAGTTTGGCAGAAGTGTTGTTAGGTGACTTCTAATGCCAAGTCACACACAAAAATGCTATTTCTGCCAGGTTATCTTGGAATACTTTGTCTTGGAATTCAGCCCTCATGCTGTGAAGAAGTGCAAGCGGACTACGGGGAGGCTGATGAGGCAAGGAACCAAGGCCCCTGGTCTGCAGCTCCAGCTGAGCTTGCAGCTGCCAGCCTGCATGAGCTCTCCAGCCTGTGAGAGAGCCATCCTGACAGAGGGTTACCCTCAGTCAAGTAGCACTAGATGTGGAGAAGAGACAAGTCATCCCTGCTTACAAGGCCTACTTACACTGCAGATTTGTGAGCATAATAAGCCATTAAGTTTTGGGTGGTTTGTTAATAAGTAATAAATAATTGATAGAGCCAGATATATCAGTCTTATCTGTTACTGTGTCTATGTGTTATCTGTTACTGTGTCTATGTGCATGCATACACACGCATGCATGTATGTTCTTAAATTCTTTTCTATAATACCTCACAGCCATAAAGGTATGGATTTATCTTTTTATCTAAAAGTTTTAAAGTCCCACTCTTATCTTTTTAGTTTATTTAATACCGACATGAATGTATAGTGTGAAGTGGGGACATAATTTTTTCCGTGTAGATAAATAGTTTTCCCAACACAATTGGCTAGTCTAACTATGGATTTTAGTGCTACCTGTGTTCTGTATACATTTCTGTATACTTGTTTTTTGTTTGTTTGCTTATTCCTGTGCTAATATCACATTGCCTTATTTGCTGTAGCTTTAGAGTCAGTCTCCACATTTGTCAGGACATGCTGCGTTATTCAGTCTTTTAATTCACAATTATTGTGATAACTTTTGGCCTTTTCTTCTTTAATATAAATTTTAATATTAGCTTGTTGAGTTCTGCAAAATATTCTGTTGACGTTATTGATAGATTAATTTGGGAAGACTTGTGTATGGCTACATTCACTTAGAATTTTTCTATTATAAATGGCATATATAAATATTACATTTGAATTGTTGCTATTATCAAGGAATACTTTATTTTTTCATTTAGGTATGATTTACATGAATAAAATAGACCCATTTTAAGTGTGTGGTTTGTTGAGTTTTGAGAAATGTATAAATTCCTGTAACAAACATCTTTATCAAGACCTCACTCTCATCCCAGAATGCTCTCATCCCTCTTTCTAAAAAATTCTTTCCCAGCCAAAGGCAGCTACTGTTCTGGGCTTTATCTGTGTAGAGTAGATTTTTCTCCTCTTGATCTTCATGTAAAATAAATAATTCAGGGTGTATTTTGTTCAGTGCAGTTTCTTTCCTTCATTACAGCTTTTGTGAGATTCATCCATGTTGTCGATAACAATAGATTTTTCTATTTAACTAGTGAATAGTATTACATGGTATAAATATGCCACAATTTCTTTATACTCCTGTTTATGGGCATGTGGGTTGTTTTCAATTTGTGACTCTTATAAATAATTTTACTAAAGATATTCCTCTACAAGTCTCTATGTGGGCATATATTTTCATTTTTTCTTGAGTAAACACCTGGAATGAAATTGCTGGGACATAGGATAGGTACTTATTTAACTTTGAAGAAATTGCCAAATTGTTTTCTGAGTTGATTTTACTATTTAAATTCCCACCAGCAATGCATAAAAGTTTAAGTTGCTCCACCAACATTTGTGCTGTTAACTTTTCAGATTTTCAGCATTTTAGTGAGCATGCGGTAGCATCAAATTAATAGTTTAAATTGCATTTTGTTCTTATTACTGGTCACATTGAACATCTTTTTCTGTGCTTAAGTGTCTTTTCCAAAGTTTGCCCATTTTAAAATTTGGGTTATTTGTTGTTTTATTCTTGAATTGTAGGCTTAAAAAATACTATGTTCTGGATACCAGTCTTTATCAGATACATTTATTGAAATATTCTGCCACTTTGTTTTCTTCATGTTGTTTTTCAAAGAGCAGATCTTAATCAGTTGACGGAATCCTATTCTTTTAGAGTTTAAGACTTTGCCATGCTATCTAAGGAATTTTTGCCTATTCCAACATTATACATGTTTTTTCCTATATTTTCTTCAGAAAGTTTTAACATTCTAGCTTTTTATGTTTAGGTCTCTGATTTACTTCTCACTATTTATTGTGTGTATGAGGTGTGGTAAGAATCAAAGTTCGTATTTGTTTTAAATGAATATCCAGTTCTTTCAGCATCATTTATTGAAAAAAAGCATCCTTTCAAATTGAATTACCTTGGCACTTGTTAAAAATCAATTGAGCATGTATGTATATATTTTTGGACTCTGCATTCTATTCAGTATATCTGTGTGGCCATCCTTATGCCACTACCAAACCATCTTGATTCCTTTAATTCTGTGTTAAGACTTGATAAAAGGTAGCATTAGTTTTCCAATTTTGTTCCTTTTAGAAGTTGTTTCGGCTAGCCTAGGTACTTTGTGTTTTGATGTAAATCTAAGAACCAGCTTCTCAATTTCTATTCCTACCCCGAATATTAAACTAGCTGCTTAATACATTTTGCCTGTGTTCTAGTTGGTTATAGTGAGTGTGCAAGTTCTGTGCCATCCCCAGAATGAAGGTGTGCTGATTAAGTTTTATGTGTCGACTTGGCTAGGCTACAGTGCCCAATTGTTTGGTCAAACACTAGTTTAGATATTGCTCTGTGACTATTTTGTAGATGTGATGAACAGCACAACCGGTTGACTTAAAGGAGATGACCCTTGATAATGTGGGTGGGTTTCTCTGAATCAGTTGAAGGCCTTAAGAGCAAAAACTGAAGTTTCCTGGAGAAGAAGAAATTCTGCCTTCACACTTTTACTCCAGCCTGCTGTACTGCTCTGTAGATTTCGAACTCAAACATACAACTTTAATCCCGTCTGAGTTTCCAGCCTGCCTGTTTGCCCTGCAGATTTTGGACTTCAGAAATTGACTGATGTAGAAGGGAAAGAAAACTCTTACTTTTTAGTCATTCACATTTCATAGTAAGTTTTCCCATTGACTTACTATTACGATAGTGCAATGAGCCATTAATTGATGGCAAAAACCGTGATTACTTTTGCACCAACCTCATATTAAGTGTGGCGTACATCTGAGGGAAACTTGAAAGATAAGCTTATATAAAGAAGAAAAGTAAGAAAACTTCATGGAAACTCCCCAGAAAGGGTAGTTTCTTGGTGTATGGAGCTACGGTTAAGAGTGATTGAAAATACATCCTCTTGGCAATGTGCATTTTACTAAGCATTTCACATAACTAATGATATTGCCTCTTTATGCATTGATACCAATTCTATGAGAGGCCCAGTGCTCGGAATACAGATACCCTCCAGGAACTCATGGTTTAATGAGACAGTCATATAAGCAGATAGCATGCCATGAGTGCTATGAGAGGGCTAAGTGAAGGTTACCGTGGGAATACTTAAGAGCCGTGGGCCATCCTTTAATTAGTCAAATACATGAAATGAGTTATTAGAAGTAGGAGATATTCCAGAAAGCAGGGAGCTGAGAAGATGGCAGAAAGCTTCAGCTTTGCCCCTGCGTATAGTGGACAGGACCAGGCCTTGTAAAGCTGGAGTAGCTCTCTGGAGGATGGGCTATATGTCACAGGAACCCTCCACTTTCTCACTTGCAAAATGTAGGATCTTCTTGGCTGTGGATAGTGTCACAGTGAGATGGCCCCAAGAGATTTATTTCCCTTGGGGAAATATTCCTTGCTTATGTGTGGACCTGCAAAAAAAAGTCCGTGCCTGCCTACATACATATGTAGATACTTTGCATAGCAGAACTGATTTAGCACAGCTAGGAAATTCTAATGAGACAAAACTTGTGGTTAGGATCTCACCAACTACATCTTCCCCTGGCAGCCATTCCCCATGGATTAATGAATGGGCCTTGGAGATGGTATCCCTGTGTTTTGGGGATGCAGTTGATGCTCTGAGGGCTGTGCTTGTGCATGCCCCTCACTTTTTGCTTCACTTTTTGCTTAGTTTACAATGGTGCATTTATAAGAGAAAATGAAAACTCAAGCCTGGTGTTGTGTTCCTAAAATCTTTGACTCAATTTCGAACTTGGCTGTCAGCCATGATGTAAAGATGATAAGCATCCTCAATAAGGATTTTGCAAATAAGAAGTAGACTTTCACTGGTGCTTTTGTGGCTCAGTTTCTGAATTTCTCATTTTTTAATTAGTGAGAAGTGGCAATGAGGAGCATGGAGAATACCTATTATTTCCTGGTCCAGAAGTGTGAAGAGTGTGGGAAAGTAAATAGCCATCACATCAGCCAATTGTAAGGAACAGTGCCTTCAGGGGTAAGGCAGATTTCAGGTAGAGGGAGAAGTCATAGGGAATACTCACTAAAAGGGCTGAGGATATCAGGGACGATGCTGGACTGCAAGTTCCAGATGGCCTGTGTAAGGGAATTGAGAAGGGGTAGAAGATGGGGTCAGACAATAGGATTTGAAGAGCCATAGAGAGATGAGGGATGACATGGGAGATTTAGGCCATTAACCCAGTTGCTCATCCCAAACCTTGGAAATATCCTGTTAATCAGCAAATATTGTTAATTGTAATCTTAACATAGATCCCAAATCCTACTTCTTACCTCTTGTACTGTGACCTCCTTACTCCAAGCTGCATTTTCCCCTTGCCTGGACTTCTAACTTGTCTTTCTTCCTCCACTCTTGCCTTCCTTCTTCTTCTTCTCCATATAGCAGCCAGAGTCTTGTTTTTTAAAGAAACATAATCAGATTATGTTTTTCTCTTTCTCAGAGGCCTCCATGGGATTCTCATCATGCTTAGAACAAATTCAAATTCTTTGTTAAAAACATTTATTTTAGGTTCAGAGGTACATGTGCAGGTTTGTTATGTAGGTAAACTAGTGTCACGGGGGCTTCTTGTGCAGATTATTTCATCACCTGGGTACTAAGCCTAGTACCCAATAGTTATAGTTATTTTTTCTTATCCTCTTCTCCCTCCCACTCTCCACCCTCAAGTAGGCCCCAGTGTCTGTTGTTTACTTCTTTGTGTCCATGTGTTGTCATCAGTTAGCTCCCACTTATAAGTGAAAACATGCAGTATTTGGTTTTCTGCTCTTGTGCTAGTTTGCTAAGAATAATGGCCTCCATCTCCACCCATGTTCCTGCAAAGGACATGATCTCATTCTTTTTCATGGCTGCATAGTATTCCATAGTGTATATATACTACATTTTCTTTATCCAGTCTACCACTGATCGACATTTAGGTTGATTCCATGTCTTTGCTGTTGTGAATAGTGCTGTAATGAACATATGCATGCAAGTGTCTTTATGATAGAATGATTTATATTCCTTTGGGTGTATACCCAGTCATGAGATTGCTGGGTTGAATAGTAGTTCTGTTTTACCTCTTTGAGGAATCCCCACCCTGCTTTCCACAATGGTTGAACTAATTTACACTCCCACCAATAATGTATAAGTGTTCCCTTTTCTCTGCAACCTTGTCAGCATCTGTTATTTTTTGACTTTTTAATAATTGTCATTCTAACTGGTGTGAGATGGTATCTTGTTGTGGGTTTGATTTGGGTTTCGCTAGTGATCAGTGATAGTGAGTTTTTATTCCTATGCTTGTTGGCTGCATGTATGTCTTCTTTTGAAAAGTGTATCTTTATGTCTTTTGCCCACTTTTTAATGGGGTATTTTTTTTTTTTTTCTTGTAAATTTGTTGAACTTCCTTATAGATGCTGGGTATCAGACGTTTGTCAGATGCATAGTTTACAAAGTTTTTCTTTCATTCTGTAGCTTGTCTGTTTACTCTGTTGATAGTTTCTTTTGCTGTGCAGAATCTCTTCAGTTTAATTAGATTCCATTTGTCAATTTGTACTTTTTGTTGAGATTGCTTTTGGCACTTTTGTCATGAAATCTTTGCCAGCTTTTATGTCCAGAATGGTATTGCCTAGGTTGTCTTGCAGGGTTTTTCTAGTTTTGGGTTTCACATTTAAGTCTTTAATCCATCTTGAGCTGATTTTTGTGTATAGTGTAAGGAAGGGGACCAGTATTAATCTTCTGCATATGGCTAGCCAGTTATCATACCACCATTTCTTGAGTAGGGTGTCCTTGCTCCACCACTTGTTTTTGTCAGCTTTGTCAAATATCAGATGGTTTGTTATTATTATTATTATTATTATTATTATTATTATTATTATACTTTAAGTTTTAGGGTACATGTGCACAACGTGCAGGTTTGTTACATATGTATACATGTGCCATGTTGGTGTGCTGCACCCAGTAACTCGTCATTTAGCATTAGGTATATCTCCTAATGCTATCCCTCCCCCCTCCCCCAACCCCACAACAGTCCTCAGTGTGTGAGGTTCCCCTTCCTGTGTCCATGTGTTCTCATTTTTCAATTCCCACCTATGAGTGAGAACATGCAGTGTTTGGTTTTTTGTCCTTGCGATAGTTTGCTGAGAGTGATGGTTTCCAGCTTCATCCATGTCCCTACAAAGGACATGAACTCATCATTTTTATGGCTGCATAGTATTCCATGGTGTATATATGCCACATTTTCTTAATCCAGTCTATCATTGTTGGACATTTGAGTTGGTTCCAAGTCTTTGCTATTGTGAATAGATCAGATGGTTTTAAATGTGCAGCCTTGTTTCTGGGCTCTCTATTCTTTTCTGCTGGTCTATGTGTGTGTTTTTGTAACAGTACCATGCTGTTTTGGTTACTGTAGCCTTGTAGTATAGTTTGAAATTGGGTAGCATGATGCCTGTCACTTTGTTCTTTTTGCATAGGATTGCCTTGGCTATTCAGGCTCTTTTTTTTGCTTCCATATGAATTTTTAAATAGTTTGTTTTAGTTCTATCAGTAATGTCATTGGTCGTTTAATAGGAACCACATAGCATCTGTAAATTCCTTTGGAAAACATGGCCATTTTAACAATACCGATTCATCCTATCCATGATCGTGGAATGTTTTTACATTTGTTTGTGTCATCTCTGATTTATTTGGGCAGTGTTTTGTAATTCTCATTGTAGAGATCTTTCACCTTCCAGATACCTACCAAGTCTTATATGGACTTCTGTACTCTGGCCCATAGCTGTCTTTCTGGCCTCATTTTCCACCATTCAACTCAATTACTGCTTCCATGAGCCACACCAAGCCCTATGCCCTCCTGATTTGGGGAGTCCTTGCCTCTCCTATATCCTCTATCTTAAAGGCTCTTCCTTCAGATATTCATGTGGCTCATGTACTGATTTTGTTTAGGTCTGTCCGTCTCATCTGAGAGCTTATCCTTGGCCACCAGGCTAAAATAACACCTTCTTACAATTCCCTATTTCCTTATCCTGTTTGACCTTTTTTCCTAGCTCTTGACATGACAGAACACTATATTTGCGTATTTGCTTGTATACTGTTTACTCCGACTCTCTCCTCTCTTCATGAAAGTTCTATGCAGGAATTTGGTCACTGCTGAATTCTTATGCAATAAACAGTTTTTGAAAAAAATGAAAGAATGATTGAATCTAGATTTGATAGTGTTTCCTAATATTTATATTTTAATTCTATTTGAATCTTGTCTCATGTCAAGGAGCTCCGTATGGAGACTCTTCATTTCTTTGCTTGAGGGACCGTTTTCTCCTTTGTTATTTGACTGAGATTCATGTCTATCTGTGATTATACATTATCCTGTATTTCAATTTTTATCTTTCATTACTTCCCAACTGGAAGCCACTGATTACATATTTGCCTTGTTTATTTTTACTGCTAAAACTTTGCATGTCTGTGCCCCTACTTGCAAAATCTCTCTGGGACCTCCTTCCCTGTTGAATTTCCTTTCATTACAGATATAAGATAGGCAAGGGGGAGAGGGTTGAATACTTTAGGATAATCTTAAAGTGAGGAATGCCACAGGTCTCTTAATTCTGGTACTCAAATCTAGTCTCTCCAGTAGGATTTTTAACTATGCAAGGCACACCTCTTTATGTGGTAGGTTTTATAGAGCAGAAATAACTTTCATTCAATTTGTATTTTAGAGATTTTTTTTCCCATTTGCTTAATATCTTAATGCACATTAGACAGGGAAGGAATAAAAGAACTTCAGGATGGGTCTAACTTTGGACCATAATAGCCTACAAAAACCCCAACATTGTTCCCCTAGATATTGGCAGTGTTCCCCATAAGCCTCATTTTTCTAGAAAGACTGAATAAACTGATCAGATGTTACCCATGTGTGCCCACTATAAATATGCACAACTCTGTAATCCTATCATCACTGCTATTATAATCACCTGTACCTGAAAGTATACCTCCCATCATGGGCCCACTCTTGGGGGAAGTTTTATCTGTTAGGGAGGTCACAAATATTTTAATTATTAGAGGACCTGTCTTCAACGAGGTGTCATATTTGAACAAAGCTGTCATCCAGTAACTGGAAACAAATGTCAATGTAGAATAAATTTGTTTTATAATTAGCATTCAATCTTTGATGTCAAATGGATATAATAATTTAATGGTAATAATTAGACTTTATTGTAATTAGCTTAAAAATGATTGATACATTCAGAGCCATGCAAATTTGTGGAGAGCTGATTTTTAAAAATCTGTGTATCTTCCTTAGTTGAAAACTACTCTGACGATGTTGATTTTGGCCAAAATATTCTATACATTTAGTGCTAATTCAATACCATTTTCAAGTGTTTAAAATATTGACAAATTGACTTTTACTTTCTTCTTGAAGGAAAATTTAAATAATAATGGGCAGAAAATTTTTGGAAAAAAGCTTGGGGGGATATGCCCTACCAGATATCACAGTATACTGCGAAGTAAATGTGGTGGCAATAATATGGTACTGACATAGGAATATGTAGATAAATGAAAGAAAAGAGAAAATTCACAAACAGAGCCTAGTTTATATTAGAGTTTTATATATGATGGAGCTAGCACTTCTAATCAATGGAAAAATGTTGATTTCTTAGTCAATGATCTTGGAAGAATTGGCCTGAGTTAGCAAGAAATCCATTTTACACATTAATAAAGCTCAGCTGGATTAAATATTAAATTTTTCAGAAATCCTATTATGAGAAGAACATTTCCTCTTAATCTTTTCAGTAGAAAAGCTTTTCATTGCTTGGCACCAAGGCCAGAAACCACAAAGGAAATGAACACAAATTTGACTTCATAAAATCTAGAATTTCTGTATGACAAATTATAACATTCATTCATTCAGTCAACCAATATTTATCATGTATCTACTACCCACAAGGCATAAACTGGAACCATATATAGTTAATATGCCATACAATGAGTTAACATTTTAAAAGCATAAAAAATTCCTACAAGTCAATAGTGAAAAGATGAACAACCCAAGAGAAAATGAGCAAAATACATGCAAAGGTAATTTATCAAAGTACAAAAAGGCCAATAAACAACTGAAAAAATGTTCCATAGTCAAAGATGTAATTTAAAACAACAATAATATATAACTTTTCACTTATTGTCTTGCTAAAGATTTAAAGGATTGATAATATCCACTGTTGATAAGGGTGTAAGCAAACAGGCATTTCAACTTCTGGTTTGAAAATACACATTGCACAGTTTTTAGAGAACAATTTTGCAAGACCTGACATTTAAAATTTACATCACTTTTTACTCAGCAATTCTATTTCTAGAAACAAATCCTAAAGAAATTACTGTTCAAGCGTGCAAGAATTTATGCAAAAGGTGTTTATTTGTAGCAATGTTTTTGCTAACAAAAAATGAAAATCACCTAAACACCTGTTTATAGAGATTAAACAAATTGTTACATCTATATGATAAAATTCTTTGAAACTGTCTAAAATAAGGTAATTATTTGTGTACCTACATGGAAACATGCCCACAATATATTATATTAAGAAAGTCAGCTTTATAGTATAAAGAGAATGACCTCATTTTAAGAATATGTGTGTATAGGCATTCAAAAATATGTATGAATATAGTACTACATAGAAACAGCAAAAAAGTGTTAGTGCTGATTGTCTTTGAAGGATGGAATTCCAGGGCACTTGTATTCACTTCCTTAAATATGTCAGTATCTTTTGGATTTACATAAATAAAGAGCATGCTTTTATAATAAAAAGGAATGTTCTCATTTGAAGAAATTGAAATCATAACACCATAAAAATAATGCATAATGATTATTTAAGGGCACAACTCTCTTCTGCATATATTTTCAATAAGGATTTATAGGATCTCTAGCCCAAATTTTTTTTCTTTTTTCACTGAGAAATTTGCTTTGTCAGTTCCCAGTTATTTTGGTGAGCACTTCCTTAGGGTCAGACACTGAGGGTCACAGAGAGGACTGGGACAAGATGCCTAACTCTAGCGATCTTGACACCTTATAATGTGGTCAATTTGATATAGTAAGGAAGATCTTTTAGCGGGAAGAGGCCAGTCAATTCAACTGGATTAGAACCTATGGGGTCCTGAAGAAATGTATTTGAAGGAATCCCAGAGATTCATAATAAGAATATTTGCACCAATGAGTCTTGAAGTTAGTTCACTGCCTATCTGTGGCCATATTGGACCAGAAAAATGCCCTTCTTTTACAGAAGGAAGCAGAGTTAGGTGCTACTTCCATGAATGCACTGACTACCTAGTGGTTCTCTTGGATCTGTATTTCCAGAGCAGCCCTTAAATCCCTACTTCTGGTATCTCTTCATTCTTTGGCTCCTTCGTTCTTTAGAAAGTGAGAGCTTGCCTTGAAAACACCAGACAGCGGCAGGCCAATTCTTTTGGCTGGTAGGAAAGTGCACAATGTATCTGATCATCAGTTTCTTATAGGGACAAGCTAACTTTGCTTGTGGATAGATTGACAGAGTTCTGCTTCTCAAACTCATGCTACTGATCTCCCTTGTTGTGATTCCCCTGGGCTCAGAAACTCTCCTGCCTCCATCCTCTTATAGAAAAAAAAGTTCATCTGGCTTCCTATGATAAGCAGAGCCTTTCATGCTGGTTTGCCATGGTCTATGATAGAGCCCTGACATTGCTTGTTAAAACTCACAAGGGTGAGAGCACAAACGTGTCAGTCAGCCCTGAGAGACATGATTACACATGGGCTCTTTCCTTTTGGTCTCCCTATATCCTGTGGGGTGGAGGGGGTAAGCCATTCACATAATTCACATCACTGAGTGCACAGTACAGAATGTGAAGAGGAAGCAGCGGCTATAGAGATTCAGAGGAAGGAGATATATGTCCCGTTAGAGACATAAGAGGCTTAAAGGAGCAGGTAACACATAGGACGTGTAGGATTCTAATGAACGGGAGTAATAGAAAAAATGTGGAGAAATGCCCTAGGTATCCCTTTCCTATAGGGATCAGGTGGCCTCTGGGATGGGATGGGAGGCCTACATCATTGGGGTACTTGAGACTCATGTGTCACCAAAATATACCTGAAAACATATGATTGTTCTGTAAAGCCATTTTGGGGCAGAAGAACACGAAGATGGAGGTATATAGAACCTGAGATGTGTACATCACTGGGGTCTGGAAGATAGGTAGGTTTACAATGGCTCCTTGTCAATGGTAATAAGAAAAGAGAAGCCTGTAGGGTTTTCAGGGACTTTTAATAGAAAATCAGAAACAACAGGGTTGTTGCTCAATAAATCTGAGATTCTGATTGTATCTTTCCCAACCATGGCTCAAGCATATTTTCTCTCAACCATAACCTCTTCCTGGAATGCCCTTCATTGTCTCTGTTTATATCCTGCTTATCCTTCAATGCCCTATCAAAGTGCACCTTCATTGAGTCCCTACAGGAGTGATGTGCTCATCCTATGAGCTCCTATAGCTTTTCATACTTCTTTTATGTCTAGCATTATTTATGTATTACCTTGTGGTCACTTGATGATTTCATATGTTCCATGTCCCCTGTATTAGGCCATTCTTGCTTTGCTATAAAGAGACACCCAAGACTGAGTAATTTATAAGAAAAGAGGTTTAATTGGGTCATGATTCTGCAGGCTGTACAGGAAGCACAGCAGTAGCATCTGCTTCTAGGGAGGCCTCAGGAAGCTTTTACTGATGGCTGTAGGCAAAGTGAGAGCAGGCACGTCATATGGCCAGGGCAGGTGCAAGAGAGAGTGGAGAGGGGCAGGTGCTGCACTTTACAACAACCAGATCTCATGAGAACTCACTCACTCTGGTGAGGACAGCACCAAGACATTCATGAGGGATCTGCCCCCACAACCCAAACACCTTCCACCGGGCCCCATCTCCAACATTGGGGAGCACATTTCAACATGAGATTTGAAGGGGACATCCAAACTGTATCATCTCCTAATAGAATGTAAGCTCTGTGGTCCCATCACTTAGGAAGCACCATGCTGAAAATAAATTAATTGTGCAATTTGTTGAGTAAGTAATGAATGAATATTTAGATAGATTTTTGTCAAGATCAGTGGTGACATTTCTACTTCTTAAGGGTGTTTTGGAAATTTATGGGGGCCACTTTGGTTATCACAATGATTGGAAGGGGGTCACTGACATTTGCTGGACATGAATCAGATATGCTAGATACCCTGCAGTATGTGATACGGTCCTGCACATTGAGTAATCCCATGGCTCACCTGATTTTCAAATAATCCTTCACATATTCAGGTAGATGAAAAACATATCCATAATTATTTGAGCCTAGAAACAAACTCCAGTCTACATATAAACACAAAGTTTATTTTGCACTATTTTACTAGACACTGAATTTTCCAGGAATGTGAGCATTATGTAAATTGAGAGAAAATTCTATTCTGTTTTGTTTGAAATTTTAGCAAGTGTTGTTCACCATTTTGGAACATTCCATCACCGAGAGCAGTGCTACTGATAATAAATGCAGTATGCCTGTATTTGTAGAGGTTTCTTTTGGGGGAAGCCATCTAACTGCTTTATGTGTTCTTGAGTAGGCATTAACTTACTAAAATACATGTTATTTTGTTATAAATTACATTATTTCTGTTTTCTTTTATATTATCATTAGGATATTTTACTATTTTAAAATTGTGCATAGGAAAGTTATATTGAATTTCGTTTTACGATTGTAAACGACAGTTAGGTCTGATAAGTTTGAAAACTGCTGATCCAGATTATCAGGTTTCTATCTATTAACCATGGGGCACTTGGGTGCCCTTCTGCAATTCGAGAAATGTGGGTTAAAGTATTCTCAATGAAAATAAACCCAATTCACACCAACAGCCTCAAATAAAAGTTGACATTTCAACATGGCTGGATGGCTCTCTGAGGAGTTGTTTGCAGTATAATTGTTGAAAGTCACATGATGAATTGAAAATTTTCCAAAATGTTAAAAGATGACCAAAACATTTAACCCAACCTCAGTCCATCCTTTAAGCCCTCCCCACTCTCATTTTCGGGACTGGCCTTATGATTCTTGCAGGACTGGCATGCTTGTCACCTATTAGGAGAGTGGTTCTCACACTTCAGCCAGTATCAGAATCAATGGGAGGCTAATTAAAATATAGATTATTGGGCTGTGTCCCCAGAGTTTCTGATTCAGTATGTCTGAGGTTGAGCTTAAGCTTTTTAATTTTAACAAGTTCTCTGGTGATGCTGATGCTGGCAGTCAGGGGCCCACACATTTGAAAACCACGTAGTAGATGCTAGAAATGAATATTTTCCCCTGCCTTGCTCCAATATGGTTTTAAGCCAGGGGATATACTGTTGAAAGGAGAAAAAAAAAAAAAGAGAGAAACATGGAACCAGCAATGAGTCTAAAACAAATATGTGAATCCTAGAATCTCATATATTTGCTGTGGGGATTTGGGTGAGCTGTTTTTTATTTGTTTGTTTGTTTGTTTTGAGATGGAGTCACGCTCTGTCATCCAGGCTGGAGTGCAGTGGCGCGATCTCGGCTCACTGCAACCTCTGCCTCCCGGGGTTCAGGCAGTTCCCCTGCCTCAGCCTCCCAACTAGCTGGGCCTACAGGTGCATGCCACCATGCCCAGTTAATTTTTTGTATTTTTAGTAGAAACAGGGTTTCACCGTGTTAGCCAGGATGGTCTTGATCTCATGACCTTGTGATCAGCCCGACTCGGCCTCCCAAAGTGCTGGGATTACAGGCGTGAGCCACCGCGCCCGGCCAGTTTTTTTTTTAAGTCTCTACTTCCAGACTTAGTGCATGTTTCTATAAAAATTTCCTAAAGCACTGGAAAAGAACCACTAGCTTATTAAAAACTTCTGCATGGGACAGTGTTCCCATGGCCAGCCTGTGGAGCGCAAATATGGTGGTTCATTATAACATCATTTTAAAAGTTAAATACACACACATATGCACATACATGTGCAAACTCATATGCAACAGATTGAGTCGTGTACTTCAGGTTGGACAATTGTGTCAGAGCCATTTAATTTTAAGTAAATGACTTTAATTAGAAGCCCCTCCACCATTCTAACTTCCTCTGTTAATGTGGTTCATTTTTTCCCTAGTGGATACTTAACTACAAAACAAACTGATGGGCAGTGGAGGAGATCGCCAGCTCAAACCTTCTTCCCAAAGAAGCAAGACAGAATTCCATGTTATTTATTTTCCTTTAAAAAATCAAGTCTAATAGTCACAGTGAATCCTTTACACACGACCAAGCTATTCTTCGTTTCTTATTGTCTCCTACAGTGTTTATTTTAATGTTCTTTCATGTGTAAAATTTTCCAGAAAATTTAGTACTTAATATTCTGGTGGTGTCCAGTACAAGTTTTGTTTCCCCACTGAGACGGTAAGTGATTCAAGGGCAAAGTCTATGCCTTACACCATTTCTTTGTCTTCCAGTGTGGAGCCCACACTACTGCTAGATAGAGCCATAGCTCTTCATGTGGGGTAGGGGTGAGACAATGCATCAGAATCACACTGGGAGCTTTTGAAAACTGCACACACCAGTTATAACCCACAGAAAGGCCCACAGTAATTCTTAAGATACTAGATTTTGAAAAGGCAGCTTACAATTAACACTGGAAATATAAATATGACTAAAAATCAAAAGGGAAGAAAGTAAACTGCCAACGTATGTACATGGTATAATATGTTGTATAGAAAACCCTTTGAAATTATCAGATGAACAATTAGAACTAATAAGACAGATCCGCGGTGTTCCTAGATATGAGAACAATTTACAGAAATCAATAACCTTCCTCTGTAATAGTCAACTGGAAAATAACACTAGAAAATAAGATACTGATAATGGGCATAAATATACAAAACACCCAGAAATTAACCTAATGAAGAATTGCAGAAGTCCTTTAGAGAATATATTTAAAACAATATTAAGGGACGTAAAAAATCTGGATAAATGGAGAGAGTCATGTTCAGGGATGGGAATGACTTGACATTAGATATAAGTCAAATCTCCCCAAATTAATCCATGAGTCCTCAATCAGTATTCAATTTAGATTCTTTTGAAGATTTTGACAGACTTCCAAAAACTTATGTTAGGTTTATAAATAAGTCAGCTTCAAAAAGTGGAGCAAAGAGAAAGAGAAACAGAATAGAAGACTCATAAACCAATGCTTGTAAATATGGGAACTTGGTCTATGATAAAGACAGCACCACACAATTAATAGGTAAGTGATGAAGTATTTTGTAGCCAATAATGGGGATACTGGCTTACTTATTTGGTGGAAAAAAAGATGAACTCCTACATTGAAATCATATAAAATGTTTGTGTCATTTACTTATTGAATACCCTATAATATGCCAAACACTTCCCTAGATTTGGAGAAAATAGGAATGAGCAAAGCAGACAAAGACCCTGCTGTCCTGCAGCTTTCATGCTGATTGGGTTCTGTGGACAGTTAACATACGCTTACACAATATATTTATGTGCACACACATAGTACTTCGGTTTTCCCAGGTCAAGGTGCTATAAAGAAAACAAAATCAAGATAAAAGAATAGGGTGAGATGATCTTTTAAATAAGGAAGGCCTATCTGAGAAGGTGACAATTAGGCAGAAATGTTAACAAAAAGAAGCAGGATGTGAAGCAACCTGGGAAAAGGGCATTCTGGGTGGAAAAAACAAGTGACTGGACAGGCCCTTTGACAGGGAGGAGCTTGCTTGGCTCTTTGAGGAACAGCACAGAGGCCAATGGGGTGAAGCCAAATGAATGAGCAAGTGGGAGTGCATCAGGAGAGCAGTGGGTGAGGGCTGCATGGTTGAGACTGGGAGCTGGAGAGTGAGCTGGAGGAAGGTAAGGGACTAAGAAAATCCAGGAGTGGAGACATAAGGTTTCTCTAAATGTGAGGGTATGGGAGTGACACATCTAACTCCCCTTCAGGAAGGCTGTAAGATTCCAGTTGACAGGTGGTAATTCCCATGCATGCCTTGGACTGATATATATATCAGAGATTCCATAGGATTGCATAAAAATGCATTTATTTTTCTCATCAAAATTGCCTTTTGGTTCACAGAGAGCTATCCCTGAATGGACTTCCAGGAGTTCTTTCTTTCATTCTTTTTACACCCATTGTCTATGGTGCAAGCATCCTGGCTTTTAGCGGGCTCTGGGACAAGGAAACAATATACTACCTGCTTCTTGGAAGGGCAGGGATAGAGCCACGCCATCCAGGCTTAGAGCTCTTTCAAGTCTGTAAAATTTCGCTTATTATACTAAATGCCACACTCAGCATAATTTTCATCTTTCACTATTCTGAAAGATACCCTTCCCAGATAGGATAGAGGCAGGAATAAAAGCAGTGAAGGGGATTTGAAACTCTGTCCTTCTACCTTCTTTCCCACTGAAAAATTCACCAAGGGGAAGATGACTCATACTTCCCCATGGAAATGCAGAGAGAGAATATGGGGCAACACTCTGGTCCACATACGAGGCAATCTCTGTCACATCCAGAGGGATTTTCCATTGGGGCTAGATATGGTGAGTG
The DNA here is from genome assembly GCF_000001405.40 of Homo sapiens. NCBI lineage: Eukaryota > Metazoa > Chordata > Mammalia > Primates > Hominidae > Homo > Homo sapiens. The sequence goes on from NC_000002.12 coordinate 21,251,673, forward strand.
CCACCAAGCATGGGGAGAGCTTGGCATACAAAAGAGAGAATCAAAAGGCAGGTCCTCACAGCAGGCGCTGGGACATCTGTATCCTCAAGTGTTCAGGAAGGCTGGTTAATTACTACAATCTTGTGTCAACAGTTGCCTTGGAGACTAGCAGCAATCACAACATGTTTGCTTTCCCAAGGAAGTGGTGTCATAGGGAAATGAAAGAGGGATGTCAATTATTTTATTTGCATATTAAAGAAAAGAATTACCCCAGAATTGGAAAGCTTGGGGGCTTTTCAGTAAGATATAGAAATACATTGTTTTCCATCTGGTGTCTTGTGCACCAACCATGCTCACTGCTCACTGTCTGTCATGCTAGCCTATCCTTTTCTGTCTCTTGGCTTTTGTGTATGTGAAAACTTTGCCTTTGGTTGTTTATACTTTGCTTGGAACAGAAACAGTCACAATAAAGAAGTATAGAGGGAGAGATCTTAAAATCGGGTGCTTGGGAGACTATCTTGCTGCTCTGGTCACGCTAAAGTGGGTAGAGAGAGGTGGTTCTAAAAAGTAGTTGAATGTCCTTGGGCACCCAGTGGTGAGGCCGTGGAGCAAAATAGGGGAAATTTTGACTGATTCCCTTAATGCCCTCCCCATCCTAAAAATGTGGATTTCAGGGCTCAGCCTTAGGACTGGAAAAGGCCAATTTGAGATTGGTCAGACTTGAGCACCTCGCAAACAGCTATCGCAAGCCAAGTCACTGTTGCCCAGAAAGGAAATTAGCGTTTATCACATTTCAGTGAAAATGATGTGGCCCAGTTAATTTAGATTTCCTTTCATTTACAATAGACTTAAAATCCTATTTAGCTATAATCCAGCCATTGTAAAATTGGTTACAAGGATCCTAATTTTCTGAGATATTGAAGCCCCCCGTTCTATCACAGCATCTTGATTTTATCCGTTTTCATCCATCGTTAAATTTCTTATGGCTGAGAATGCCAGAGGTGACCTACCTTTCCAATCCGCTGCTGCATTCAGCAGTAACTGGATTGAGATTGGAAACATTTATTTTATTCAGTGCCTTATCTGTTCTTTTCCACTGTTTTAAACACTACTGAGGGTCAGACTGAAAATCCTTCTCTGATTCTAACTGTAATCAAGCGGGAAATGGTTTTATTTTATTTTAAACTAATATGGAGCCTAAGAAGAAAGAATCATTTCATACAGTGGCATTGAATGGCCCATTCCGCCATTGCTTAAAATGTACAGTTTTGCATATCTTATCATCAAGCCTACATTTACATGACCTTTAACATTGAAAATTTATCTGACCTTTTTCCCCATTTAAATTGATGTGTTTCTCATTTGGGAGCCTGTTAAAACCTTACCATCTTTAGGGGTCTACAATCACAAGTGATCTCTCTTCTTCATGTGAATTCCTGCTGCTCTGAATGTCTGTGTCACCTGTGCAATCTATCCATCCACAGCATGATGTCCTTAGCTTACTTCTGTGTGAGTCTTGCCTCCCATACTAAGTGGGCACTTTGTGGAGGCTCACTATGGCTCAAGCTGCTCCATCTGTTTCACCTAGATGATGGAGAGCACCTGCTGATAGATACAGTCCAACAAGAGGAAGCCTTGTGTGTGCAAGAGTCTGGACTTTTCTGAGTTCCTGGCATTAAGATCTTGAACATGTTAGTTAGAGACTCCTACGAGGAACTTCTTGATCCTCAGTCCCTCCAGTTCCCTCTAGGCCTTAATGCCTTCCAGAGAGATTGCAATGGGCTCAGCCACTCCAGATATGAAGTACAATGTGGTCTGGGAGGTGTGGATGGCTGAGAAGGTGTGGAGGTGGGCGATGGTAGAGTGGGAGCTGCTGTGTCTTATAGTCTGTACTGAGCTCACTGTTTTCCCAGGCCTCACTGTTTTCCTTCCCTGTAGACCAGGGTTTGACTCTGCCTTGAACACTCTTCCTCCTCTCTGCCCTCCCTGCATAGTGGCCACTTAACAGCTTTCCTCTGGAGCCATCTGCAAAGAGATGGGAAAGACAGGACTGGAGCATTTTCTAGAGAATGTGGGTTGCTCTGATTCAGAGAAGGAGACAGGACAGGAGACAGTGCTAGTGATCCTGACCTTGGTGCTCAAACTTATAGTGACTTAGGGAGGTGGCGTGCCACCTAGGCACAGTTCTGCCCCCAGCCATGCATCAGTGAGTAAAGGCTGACTCAACATATACCTTCAGCCTGCTCTGTTGGAGGCATGAGAGCTTAGGGCATGGAGACTTGTCCCCTATGGCCCCTGCATTTGAGTTGCTGAACCCTCTACCTAGGAGGACTGAACTTAAGCCCAGTGCTGGCCTTCATATCTCCTAAGACACATGAGCTTTGAGCCCCATCACTCAAAGAAGAGGAAATCTCTGTGGCATTCCAGTGTGTAGAATGAGGACACAGAAGGATCAGAGAAGGCTTCTAGGTAAAAAGGAACTTTATTTTTTAATGGACTTGGAAAATGTCCTTCCTATTAGCCAGAATGTACAAAAGCTGAAAATTTTCTTTCTTTGAGAAGGTGGAGGGAAGGATGATACCAATACAGTGTGGCACGAACTACACTGTGGAGGGCAGGAGATGCTGTGTGAGCTCCAGGCAGGCTCTTCATCAGCTGGGGGGGCTTCCCGGGGCTGAAGAGACAGAAAGCATGGAAAAGAATGACAAGGCACTTTTCCTATTCAAACTTATTAAGAATTCTAGCCAGTGTGCTCACAGAAAGAATGGCTCACTGTTTGAGAAAGTTTGGGTCAAGCGTTTTTTTCTCTTTTGTTTTGTTTTCCAAAGTCAAATAGGCCTCTGATGATGATTTTCTAAAGAAGGGAACTTCTGGGGCTCTCTCTGGCCTTAATCACACTTTATTGTAGAAAATACATGGATGGAGGAGCTAAATAGCAGCCTCGGCTGCCCCTCATTGCTTCCCCAGTTCCATGGGTGCTGGACAACTGTGATTGAAGCCTTTTGCCAAGGAGGCCTTCATGCGGGGACCATAGCTCCCTTCTTTCCCCTTGTCCATGCCTTTCATTCTAAATGGCACACAGGGTGGGGAAAGAGCTGGGAAGAGGGAGCCCTCCTCTGGACACAGGCTTGACCTGACCTGGGCTCTGGCTCACCTTTTGTTCTCCTTTGCCCACTGAGGAGCTCTTGGGTTCTTTTCAGGAAACCTGTCATTTCTCCTTCCATCAGCAACCAGCCCCATTCCTCAACATTGGCTTAAAAAGCGGTGCCAGCAGGCTCAGCACCAGAGGGCAGAGAAAGTGGCCTCAGGACCACTTTATTGCTCCAGCTAGCCCTGGGGGTTCCCTATCTGAGGAACACTGAGACTCCGTGTGTGATGGATGTGGAGTCCCTTCTGAGTAATCTGATAGGACTGGAGAAGAGAGAGAGTTCAGGCTCCATCTGACCTAATCACTCAAAATCACCTGTCTTCTAAGCCCCCTATACCTAGAGGAGTCGGCTCCCCAAGCTTTGAGGAGTAAGGACAAGCTGGCCAGGAAACCCTGGTGTAGCCGAGGAAAGTGGCAGTGTGTGCCCCCTCCCCCTGCTTGATGGCAGTACAACTGAGCAACTCCTACTGCATAGTTGTGTGGACCAAAGTAACTGTGTGCTGTCAGCAGAGGGTGACCGTCCCCTCTCTCCTGGACTACTATGGAGCAGCCTGTTGGCAAGGGGTCCAGGGAAGCCATACTACACCACTAAGGAGAAAGGAGCTCATAGTCAGACCCAACAGAGAATTTCTCTTTTTATGACACAGACTTTCCTCCTTTGACTTTTTGCCACTGAGCCTTGCTGTAGCTCAGAGATGTTCTAAAGATAGGCCATCGGAGATAAAGGTAACATCTGAAGTCATAGGTCAAGAGCTCCTGTGTGTGCTTCACCAGGGGCACCAAAATCTTAGCTCTGCACAAAGCTCTCTTCCTCAATTTTCACTGAACCCTCTGTCAGCTTATATGGCAACAACTTACAAATGGTGAAACTGAGACCCCAGAATTGGGATTAACAACTTGGATGTTATTTAAAAGAAGAGCTGGTGTTCAGCCACGTGACCTCTGTCCCATTCATCTTTATACCTTTGCCTCTGGAAGGCCTCATGCTCTGTAGCCATAAGAAAATGATCTTACTTCTTTGAACTTCATCTGTAAAGTGGGGTGACCCTTCACAGGGTCTTCAGAGGAGTAGATCAAAATACAATATTTTGCATGGTGCCTGGCACACAGCAAGCCCTTCAGAAAATGGCAGATATTAATGTAAGGCTTTGATCATGAGGATTAGATGACTCTGGCTGCTCCTTGGGGCTGAGAAACCACAGCCTGTAAGGATAGTGGAGGAGAGCCCATAGGAAGGTCTGGCCCCGTGATATTTGACATTATTATCTTACCGTCTCTGGTGGCCAGAGTTGCTACAAAGATGATTCACCTTAGTCCAGCGCAAAGGCTGCCCGAGCTTCTGGTTTGTATTCTACTGGGGCCTGGAACAAAGCCAGGAAGACACAATGAAGGATGTTTCCCTTTGTGTCCACAGCTGCTTCCTGGTTACAATGGGCCATTGTTGTGCTAGGCCACAATGGAAGGGAAGTGGAACTGATTGGCTAATGATTCTGTCTCATGTCTTGGGCCTCAGAGGCTCTGCTCTGTCAGGGGCATCTGAGGTTTTAGGAACTTGTCTCAAACAGTAAGTTAGTTATTACCGACTGGTAGATGGATTATTGATCTTAACTCATTTCTCCTTTCCTGTAGTAGAATGATATATTCATGGGCTTTTCATGTGACTTTGGAATACCTCCCACTGGAACAGGAATATATATCCTGTTGATGGCGGTCATGGCTTTAACCATGGATGTTAGGATACATGATATAAGCAGAGGTTTTCAATATGCTTTGGTTATTTGGCTTGGCCTCTTGCATTTCTGCATCTGCCATAAGAAAAACATGCCTTGGCTGATTTCTGGTCCATGGAATGAGGAGACATATGGAGCACACCTGAACTCAATTCTTAGTTCAGATCCAAGCCTTGCTGAGCCCAGTTGAGATCAGCTAAATCCTAGCCTACCTGCAGATCCGTGAGGGAGAAAAATGAATGTTTATTGTTGTAAGCCCAATGAGATCTGGGGATTGTTTGCCATGCCTCATTATTTTGAAGCAATAGCTGATGAATGCACTGACACACGGACTCTCTACTAGAGAAGGGATCAGCAGGAGAATCTGATGGCTCCAGGCTGGCCAATGTAAGTCCCTTGGAGAGGGACCCAGACTTTTCTGGACCAGGATGGCTGAGATTACCTTTTCCCCAAGAGGAGACTGTAGAGAGCCCCGGCTGGGCATGGCTTATCCCCTTTTGTGCTCCCAGCACCCAACCTGGTGCCCTACTCTGAGTATGTAAATGATAAATGTATGTTAAATCTTATTGAAATGAAGTGAAACATAGCCAGGCTGAAGAGGCTTGATTTCCCAAATTAGGGCTTTCTGTAGGAGCATCCAAGATGCAAATCAGAGAAGAGTCTGCGAAAAGGGCAGGCCTAGTCCTTCCAGGGGAAGGCCAATGCCAGGAGAACTTTTAGAAATGTCCTGAACCCATGAACATCGTTGTAGCTTTTGCTCTCTGAGGGTTGCTACAGAATATGCCTAGAAATATATCATTTTCTGGCTCAATTTGTCCAGACTGCTCTAACAGAAAAACAGAATAACATGGACTAGGTGGCTTAAACAACAGAAATGTATCTCTCACAGTTCGGAGATTGGAAAGTTTGAGATCAGGGCACTAGTATGGTCAGGTTCTGGTGAGGGCCCTCTTCCCGGTTTGCAGAGGACTTTTCTCTGGCTCTTCCCTTACATGGTGGAGAGCAGAGAGAAACAGAGAGAAAATAAACTCTCTTTTATCTCTTCTAAGGGTTACTTATCCCATACATGAGGACACCAACCTCAGGACCTAATCGCCTCTCAAAGGCCCCACCTTCTAATTCCATCACACTTGGGATTAGGTTTCCTCATAGGAATTTTGGAGGTGGAGAATACAAATATTCAGATCATAGCAATTTCCTGTCTAGAAACAACTCTTGATCATGCCATTAAATGTCTGCCTCCTTCCTTTTTCTGTCCTCCCTTCCCGACTTCCCTGAGAAGACAGCAGACCCCACTGTGATGTTTCATCCCAGCAAAGGCTGGCTGTCAGCTGATCCTTATTTACCTTATTCCATAAGAATGTGAGAAATAAACCTTCTCAGAGACAGTTGTGTTTTTAAAGGAGATTCCCAGAGTTGAAAAAATCTTCTCTTGGCAAATAAATGACTCACTGATGATAGAGTATCAAACACTATGTTAGACTGTCACTATTTTCTGGTAGAAAGTTCTGTGTGCTCGCCTACCCTTCCACCCCACTCCCCCTGTAGAGTTTCCCTAAATCCTCCTGTATTAGGGCAAAGCCTGCTCATTTGCTTCTGTCACTTCTTTTCCTCTGTGATTTGGACGAGGCAGAGAGGTAGGCAATGAATTGTACAAGCTGATTCTATTTAGAATTACTGGGGGCCTCGGGGCACGTGTTTGTAAGAGTGCCTGTTTGCCCTGACACTGCACTGTTGGAAAGTAAGAGGATACCCTGGGACTTCTCCAGGGGGTGGGACTCCAGAGCCTGCTTTCTGCTGCCTCATTAAGCCAGCCAGTCCTGATGCCTAAATGCGCATCACTCCATCCTCTTCCTTTAGCCACCTCCTCAAGGGAGTGGGCATTTCAGGTTACTGTTTCCAGGGGAAGGCTGACTAAAATTAATGAAGGCTTTTCATTTTGGAATAGCTGGGTTACTTTCTGATAGCTGCAAGAAAGCAGCAGAAGACTGGGAATGTCAGGTGGCAGGGGCCTAAGACTGGGTGTCCGAGGGCTGGAACCTCAGTGTTCTCATCTGGGAATTACAGAAAATAAAAATTTGTCTCACAGGATTGTTGTGAGGCTCCAGTGAGATGGAGTGTGTGAAACCCCTCTGAGTGACAGAATTCTGTAGAGATATGAGTTGTTAACAGATTGATTATAGTGATGAATATGGTGTATTAAATAAGTGATGAAGTTTACTTCATCTTCCTCCTGCCAGATCTGTAGTGTCATGAGGCAAAGTGCCAGCCAAGCAGGGACGCTCTGGCATCAGACAGCTTGGGTTCTAATCCTGGCTCCACCACCCACTAGCTGTGTGATCTTGGGAAAGTGACTTCATCTCTCTGTGCGTAAGTGTCTCCATCTGTAGAATGGGGAAAATAGTAGTACCTACTATCTATGGTGGTTTTCAGGTTTAAGTGAGTTAATACCTAAAAAGTATTTAAACAGTGCATGGCACACACATACTTTCAAAAGATGTCTGCTATTTTGTTTTAACTTCTTATTTTAAAATAACCATAGATTTGCGGGAAATTGCAAAGACATGCATGGGAATGTCCCCTGCATTCTTCACCCAGCCTCCTCCATTCTTGACACTTGGCATAACTGTGATTCCGTATCCATACCAGATAATTAACATTGATATAATCCACAGCGCTTTTTTAGGTTTCACCAGGTTTGCATGAACGTGTGTGTGTGTGTGTGTGTGTGTGTGTGTGTGTGTGTGTGTCGGGAAGGGGGGAGGGTCCATGAATGACTTCATGTAACCACCACAGTCAAGATACAGAACTAGACTCTCACCATAAGGTTCCCCCATGCTACTCCCTTATAGGCACACCACAAAGCTATTTTTAATGCATTCAAGTAGTCGGGAAACAGAATTCTTTTTAGTACATGTTTACAGCAAGAAATGACTGACACTGAACTTGTGGAAGAGTAATCTTCCTGTCCTTGGTAATAGTCATGGAGAAGCTGGATCTTCTTAATTGGGAATTATTTAAAGTGATAATACAGGAGCGGGAGAGAAGATGGGGTAGGCTGAAATCTGAGGTCCCACCTCTAAGCCTCCATGATTATACAGGAAGTTTCCCTGCAGGAGAGGAGGTTTCATATGGGCCTTGACAAACAAGGAGGCAAAGGGAACAGGGAGAATATATGAGGTGAGCAAAAAGGAGAGTCAGCCCTTCTCTGTTCCCTGACCCTGGGGGACAAAGGTATACCTACCTCTTGGGCAGAAGTTTAGGGTTCTCTGGACAAAGTTCTCTGGGCCATTTGGAGCCCAAGCATTAGGCTTCTTTATCTTTGCTCTGGATTAAGGAGTTAACCTCTGGGCTGTCCAGTGGTCAAGGTATCTGCCATGAGGCCAACTCTAAAAGACAGGTATCCCTGGTGAAAACAGGCTGCTCGCTCTCTTGGGCTGCCATTCTCTGGATCTTTTCTGTCCCAGTCCATCTCTCCTCGTCAGTCTGCACTGAGGGTGTCCCATAATTATTTCTTCTTGGTTATCCAGACTACTTTCTGAAAAGGAAATACGAGCAGGGTTTATCTCTTCTAGCACCCTCGGTGACATTGTCCTTTCTTTAGAATGCATTCATTCTTCCTTTTTATCGGGGGTGGGGTGGAGGGGTCCTCGGCAGGTAATTTAAAAGACTAACAAACTTTGGCATAGATCACTTTAAGAGCTAGAGAGCAGGCCTGAATATTAATGAAGCCATCTAGTGATAGAGTTGCTTCCTGATGAAGGAACATATCAAAGAGGTTAGGTCTGTGAGTGTTGCTCTGCAGAGCCCCATCTCTATTATCTAGCTCTTAATTACTTCATTAAAATTCAACAGAGGAGCTGCCCAAATCCAGTAGCGTGCCCAAGGCTTGCTGGGTGATTTCCCTGCCTCTGGCCATATGTGATTTTTAGTTCTTTAGGTCTCCAGAGATAGGAGTCCAGATCTCAGGCAGACAGACCCTGCTGTTACTGGCTGTGCTAGCTTCCTGCACTAAGCGCAGCTGCCTGCCTTTTGTACAATTTCTGTGCAACTGGATTTCTGCGCCCCTCTCCCTGGTGCCTGGACACACTGCCTATCTTGTGTGCTTGGGGAAGGAGCTGGCCTGCAAAAGTGTATATTTCAGATTACAGAAGTCTCCTTTGTTAGACTTGCACATACTTTCTGGATCTCTTTTGAAAAGATGGATTGCTTCCTCCCTGCTTCCTAAAACAGCAGCCAGGACACCATTTTACCTAGGGTATCTCATCCCTGGGCCTCAGTTTTCCCATCTGTAAAATGAAGCCGTTACTCCACGTGGTGCCTCCATAGCTCTAAATTCTCTCGATCTTTAGGAGAACCTATTTTCTTGTAGGGCTATAATATAGTGACACCTTCCAGCATGAAACGGTGCCAATTAGCTCTTATCCTAAACTATTCCTGTTGGCTCCTCCTTCTCAGTGCTGCTCCTTTTAGTGATACCCATTGTCTGTGGACTTAAAATTACTAACTAGCCCTGGGATCAGGAAAAACATCCTAGGCATCTTTATTTTTAAACTTGATTTTAGGTCACAGGGAAGGACATGAAGGTGGTACTACCTCTTCTCTTTTTTTTGAGACGGAGTCTCGCTCTGTCGCCCAGCCTGGAGTGCAGTGGCGCGATCTCGGCTCACTGCGAGCTCCGCCTCCTGGGTTCACGCCATTCTCCTGCCTCAGCCGCCCGAGTAGCTGGGACTACAGGCGCCCGCCACCACGCCCAGCTAATTTTTTGTATTTTTAGTAGAGACGGGGTTTCACCGTGTTAGCCAGGATGGTCTCGATCTCCTGACCTCGTGATCCACCCGCCTCGGCCTCCCAAAGTGCTGGCTACTTCTTCTTTAGAGTACAACCTATGGGCTCTTTGACAGCTGTTTTTAGATTCAGCTGTCAAAGGCTGAATCTAAAAGGCCCTTTTAACGTCTCTGGGTTTGCGTCTGTGCTCCAAGTGGAGCAGATTATTTTAGAATTGCACTGAATCAACAAAAGACAATGCATGTAAATGTGTCTACCACATAGAGGAGGCAACATGTTTGGTGATATAAGTTATAGAAGTTTCATCTGCCTTTTCTGCCTTCCTGTGTCTGTTTTGCTTTTTTCTGATCATTGTATCTGTTAAAGTTCCTTCCGGGAAGAACAGCGGGAGCTGAGTATCTCCTGGGGTTTTGCCACTGGAGCATCCCAGGAGCCACTGAAATGAGAGGGCCCCTGATGCAGACAGGGAGATGACAGAGAGCTTGGCACTGAGCCGTGCAGCAAGCAGGCTCAGGCAGAGAATGTGCAGGCAGGAGCCCCCGACAGGAGGCCAGTAAAGAGCACCGGCTTCTGAAGAAGGAAAATTGAGAAGAGCTTGTGCTGAAGAAGTTGGAACCAGTCATGCTAGTGAGCCGGACTGAGATTTCTGAAAGACAGTAAAAAAAAAAAAAATGCAAGTGTGCACCTTCTTCTGAGTACTTCCAAGGTAACTAGAGCCGCTGTAAAACACTAGTGCTTTTCCTCTGTATCCCCAGTAAAAGGAGAATCCAGCCCTAGTTGCCTTCCTGGGGGAGGAACTTTTGAATGCAGGAGGTGGAGGTGATATTTCAGGACTTAGCATTTGGCAAACAGTTGGCTCCAGAGCCCAACATTGCTTCTGGCCTCAGGAAAATGCTGGATGGAGAGAGTCTCCAGCATTGGCCAGCATGGCATTACTCAGGGAATTTCCTTGTTTCTTTTCTTTTTCTGTTTGGTGGCCAAACTGTTGGAAGAGGATAATCTTCTCATCTTGTTTCTTTCAGTCCCGAATTTATTAATCACTTTAAATGGTTATAACTCCCCCAGTTTTATTTGAACTCTTCAGCTTTCTTTTTAAAAAGTATTTTGCTTCTTTCTCTGGGCTGGCCCTGTGTCTTTTTGTCTCACTCTATTTCTTGCTGTTTGTTTCCATGTCTCATGGCCCAATTCCATTTTGTATCTCTCTGTATTTGCTCATAAAGCTCTGTCTTTAATTGTCTGTCTGTCTTTTTCTTTCCTTTCTCCTGGGTCAGGCAGGAAGTTAAGGCAGACAGACAGCTGGTCCTTTTCTTTATTTGGAATAAAAAATGGCTTTGGTGGCTGATGACAGGCAACTTGGGCTTATATGATCCTGGGAAGCCGCAGCAGCAGGACAAGAGGGGGAGCTTTTCCATCCTGCCTCCAGGTCTCATTTTCACAGGGACATTTCCTACCAGGAAGGAGCCTTGGAGATGAAGCTGGATTTTCCATCCAGAGTCTTCCGAGGCACTTAGTTCTTCTTTGAGGGGTTCAAGTGGTCCAGCTCCAAGTGTGTGTGGTGGGGAGAGGACCACTCCTAGGTTATCAGCCTTGGGCTAGGTCTGGGAGGGATAGAACTGTAAAGGACACCAGCCCTGTTTCTGAGGACATGGAAAGACTTTCTCCTCAATTTGGCATTTAACACCCTTCATGAGTTGGCCTCAGCCTGTCCCCTACTGTTCCCCTCACACCTTGTTCTAGTGTCTGAGTTTCTGGCTGCCTCCATGGTTCTGGTTCTTCCTAATGTGCACTGGTACAAGCTCTGTCCTCTGACACTCTTGTCAACTGCGGCAAACTCCTGTTCATCCACTGGTTCCAACTCAGACGCCACCTCCTCTGTGAAGTCTCTCCCAACTCCAGGGAGAGTTACTTACTCTCTTCTGAGTAGATGTTCTTGCCTTTATTGTCCTCCCATGGTCTTATAATTGTCTACTTAGGTGCCTGTCTTCCCTCTAGACTGTGATCTCTTTGAAGGCAAGCATGATGCCTTATTTATTATATCCTTAATATCTGGCAACTAGTAAGAGGTTAATGCTTGTGGAATAAGAACTAGGAAAAACAATTTTAGGAGTTATATGATCAACACTAAGCTGTGTGCTGAAACTGTGAGTGCTGTCGGACCTTGGAGAAGAAGGGGAGGGGTTAGCATGGGGTTTGAGGGAGACCAATGCCTCCTTCTGCATGTGTACCCCACACTTGCAACAGAAGGTCAGTGGGACAGAAACAGTGGCATCACCCAGTGCTTGCTGGAGTCCAAAGTGCCCGGTTTGGGGAATGGAATTTCTAATGTGTTTCTTTTCCTGTGATCTATCTCCCCTGCCAATGCTGCTCCTTGGAAGACCAGGACCAGAGACCATGCTGGGAAGCCTGGCTGCTCTTTGAGGACTGAGATGAACTTAGCAATGCAGAGAAGAACAAAGAGAGGCTTGTGCTCACCGTGTTCCAGAGGGATCACCGTGTTCCCTTTGTTCATTTGAGGACATGAATACAACTATGGTCTTTGGACAAAAGGCATATGCCAGGCAGTATGAATGGTCTCTCTTGTCTGTGCAATTAGTATGTAAGAGCACGTGAACTGGTGCCTGGGACCTCTACCTGTTTTAGTATGATAGCACCACAGTAAAGGGCCTGGACTTTGTATGAGCTTGGGAAAATCATGTCACCTCTGCAAGTCTTGGTTTCCCTGGGTGTTAAATGTCAATTTAAGTAAAATGCTATCTACTTTGTTTTGGAGACTTTCTATGAGAATCTGATAAACTATAACCTGTGAAAGAGTTTCAAAAGTTGTAAAAGATTGAAGGGTGAGTATACGGTGCATGATCCTTTACAGGGTTCTTGAAAATGCAGTTACTCCAAGGGGCAGTGCTAGCAGAAGCTCATAGCTCATTCTCCTGATTAGAAAACCTTTTTGGGGAAAGGGCTCAGGTTTATTTCTGGTTCTAACATGCTCAGTTTAATGCAACATATTTCAGCTTCTTATGGAATCTCTACCATATGCTAAGCCTGTGCCAGGCAAAAGGGGGTGGTGTGGCATGGAGATTAGTCATAGAGAAGTTCTGTCCCCCAGGATCACCAAAGGACCCATCTTCCTCTGATAGAGCCCTCTGCCGACTTAGTTGATCTTCGCTCTTGGCAAAGCCACATGTACGGTAGCCCAGGTCCTTTTGAAAGGTAGTGTTTGTGGCAAGAATTAAAGCAATAACACCCTACTTTGGAGGTACAAGCTCAAGGTGGTGAGGGTGATGGCAGGAAGAGGCAAGTGAATCAAGGAAAGATGGAAGCAATGCAATGCCACCTGCCCCTCTGCTAGCCAGAGGTTTATGTGAACCTTGCAGTGACACATTAGTTCCTCAACAGGCACAGCCGCTTGGCGTACTGGGCTGCGTGGGAAGGTTGGTGAGGAAAAAACACGCTTTGAAGTAATCCACATTGGGAAGAAAAGAGGATATTTATCTGTCCAATTACTTTCCAGTTCCATTTCTCACTGGTCAAGGTTATATCCAGAGGAAATCATAGCCCCTGGTGGATGCTCAGTAAGCCAGATCCCATGCTCATGATACTGTGCTTCATGCGAGTGGAAAAGTGGGGGAAAGCTTGGCACAAGTGGGCTCCAGCCCACAGAAAGAGAGAAAGAGACAGCCGGGAGCGTCTCAGAAGGCACACAGGTGTTTGGTCCTATTCCCTGACCTTCTCCTACTCCAGGTTAGGAGAGCTTGGAATCCAGTGGAGTGTGGGGGTGAATATGGCTCCACTTCTAAATCCCTTCCTTCATCTCCATCCACTGGAAGCGATTGCATCCTGCTGACAGGTTCCTCAGCTCTGAAGCCTCATCCAAGGGCTTAACAGGAACAGAGTGACTGCCGTGGCTCCACCTCAACCTCTCCTGCAGACCGATCCAGCCTTATCCTTTCCACAATCCCTTACGAGAGGCCTGGATTCTTATTAAGAAACACTATGGATTTTTAGAGTAAAAATGTCTATAGAGAGACTTCAGAAACAGTCTGGGGAGATTATAAAGAAATGTGGGCCAGTTGTCCAAGGAGATTTTATAGAATATTCAATAGCACTCATGTCATAAAAGGCCTGTGGAGGTTTGCATAGCTGAGGCTGGCCCTGAATTATGATTCCCTGATGCAGAGCCCAGCAAAAGCTCACAGCATCCCAGACTAGGGCTTGATGCTGCTGTGCTTGTAAAAATAGAGCCACCTCACCTCACTCAAATGCAGTGGGGATATTAATTTCCAGGGCTGGAGTTCAATTTCATAGAAAGACAGAGTGGAAAATAGAGCTGTCTTTTCAATCCCAGTGGTCATAATAGAACCCCACCCTGCACCTCTCTGGAAACTGTCTCCCAGCCAGCTCCCAGACACACTGAAACGTACCTTGTGCTTTGCTTTCAATGATAACTGGAGCTGGGTAGCCACAGGGACAGCAATTACTGTCCACAGATGAGGAACCTGAGGCATTTGGAGGTTAATCTACTCTCTCACAGGCACAGAGCGAGGCAGAGGATGTGCCAGTTTGAAAGTCCTCCTCCTGAGTGGGAGCAGACGACCACAGTTACATTCCACTTTTATGGAAGAAGGAGAGTTATGAAGGTGCAGGCCTACTGTGTGCTAGGCCCTGCATGAAGTGCTTGACATTCACACTCATTCAGTTTTACAGTGAACCTGACAGGTCAATATTTTCTCCATTTATTAGGAAACTGAGATTCAGTGAGACAAGGACATTTGTTCAAATAAATCTCGTAACTCTGAAGAGGCCTGGATCTGAGAAGAATGGGTGCCAGGTAGTCTGACTGGGCTAGTTTTGCCCCATCATGGCCCTGTGACATCCGTTCTGCCTCCCAGCTAGACTGGACTCCCCCAGACCAGGAACTGTGTCCTGGCTCTTCCTAGCACCCAGCTCAGGGAGGGCTATCAAGGCTGCTGAAAGCAGGTGAGTTGGCAGAATCTGGTGAGTGGGAAGAATTGGACCTATGCTTTTTAAAAATGGGCTTGAAATTTTAACTGAAACTTTCTCTCCTTACCTTAAAGCTCAGTGAATGTCAGTCTCTGAGCAGATGGGAAGAACTGAGGATGAATTTGTCCACTTAAATGGGAATGGAAGCTTAAGAATCAAGATATTTGAAGGTGAGGTCAGGGATCTTGCTTGGTTGTTGAGGTACTGAAGGTCAAATGGAGAGGCCCTGAGATTTTACCATTCTTTTTGTTGTTGTTGTTGTTGTTTTTCGAGACGGAGTCTGGCTCTGTCGCCCAGGCTGGAGTGCAGTGGCGCGATCTCGGCTCACTGCAAGCTCCGCCTCCCGGGTTCATGCCATTCTCCTGCCTCGGCCTCCTGAGTAGCTGGGACTACAGGCGCCTGCCACCATGCCCAGCTAATTTTTTGTATTTTCAGTAGAGACAGGGTTTCACTGTGTTAGCCAGGATGGTGATTTTACCATTCTTAAGGTGGACTCACAGTTGGCTCTCAATCAGCATCTCCTGGGCATATGATGACTTCCTCCCTGGACTCTCACTGTTGATCTACAGTGGCTATGAGCCTAGGCTGGAGCCCAGCAGGAAGGCTGAGCCCCATGCTTAGTGGTGGTGAAGGATTCTCAGCTGATGTGAGGGTCCAAGGTGCTTCAGCAAATGCTGCCCAGGTAGGTGATCTGTGCAGGGCCAGGAGCCAGGTGCTCCTTGCAGAGGCAGTGAGCATCAGAGGTGAAGACTATCCCTGGGGTTGGGGTCATGTGTGGTCCTTGGCTCAGCCCCACCTAGACTTGGAGCGACAGAGCAGAAGAAGAAGGGTGAGACTCCTGCTTCAGTGGAGGAGGAGAGATTCTGGTTTGTACAAATGGCCTGGTCAAGCAGGCCTATTATACACTAAAGACTGGAAACTATACCATATTTATTTCTTCATTTTGAAGGCCTAATGTGCAGGTTCTGTATGTTAATCCTTGTTGAAGAGAGAATAGAGAAATGAAGAAAGACTATAAGAGCAGAGTGAATGACACAGACCGGACCCTAGAGGTCAGAGGAGGGAAGGATTGGGGCTGAGCAGGGTGGGGCTGAGGTTGTTAGGGGAGCTTTGTGTGGAGCAGCAAAGCTGGAGTAGTGGATGCTGTGACGTGTTGCCCAGATCTCCCTTTCAGCACTGAGGCACTCATTTTCCCATCTGCTGGACACATTGTTGGCTGACCGTCCTCAGTTCTCTCCAATATTTGGTCTTATCTTGTCCAAGATCAGGCCCCCTCCCTGAGGACAACCCACATTCAAGGACTCAATGGGGGTGGGAGGGATAAAGGCTACCTCCTCCCCTTGTTTCAGTGCAAGACAGCTCAGAACAGCCAGCCATCTCTAGGGTACCCCATGGGATTTGTGGGCTGGAATGTTCTTAAAAGATAAGATCAATAAACAAAGTGCAAGGAAGAGAGGAGAGTGTCCCACGAGGGAAGAATGGCTTGTGTAAGCGTGCATAGGAGAGCCCTGATTATCTGCCACCCCTGCTGCCTTGATTTGGCTGGCCACCCTTCTGGTCCCTCTCAGTGGCCATCAGCAGTATGAAGTTGCCAAGGCTGTGATGATGTTTAGTCAGAGCAGAGTATTACCTGGGATGAGTTTAACTAGCCTGTGAACACTTCCCACTTTGTGGTGTAGAGGAAAGAACACTGAACAAGGAACTACGAGGCCCACATTCTAATCCTGGCTGTGACACTAACTTGCTCTGTGACTTTGAACCAGTGACTTCATTTCTCTGAGCCTCGTTGCCCTTGTCTCTCAAAAACTAGTCCCCACACAAGGCCTTGCTGAACAACGGCTGCAGGTGGCTTGTCTCCGTGTGCCTGGTGTGTCTTTTCTGCTGGACTGGAATTTTCTCGAGGGGGGAGGCCACGCATCCCATGTAACCAGTTCTTGCTCTGCTCCTTCACCTTTCCTCCGTGAGTGCCTCCTTCCAGTTCTGCTCGGTGAGCACTGGTCCTGAGGTCCCTCCATCAGGGAGTCAGTCCCTGGTCTCCCAGGAGGCACAACTCTGTGCTCCTCAGACTCTGCCGACAGTGTTTGAGTGACACTCTCCTGGCCGTTACCCATTTGGCCCGTGCAGCCTGTGCCTGATGCAACGCATGACATCAGGGCCTGTCATAGTGCCTAGCACACGGGGCGCACAGGAAATCCCAACTCAATTGAGGGAGGTGATAATGAAAAATGTACATGAAAGCACCCCACAACTAAAATGTGCCCTGATTATCTGTTGCCCCTGCTGCCTTGATTTAGCTGACCACCCTCCTGGTCCCTTTCAGTGGCCATCGGTGGTATGAAGTTACCAGGGCTGTGATGATGCCGGTGAACTAATGAGGATGTTATGTGAGTCAGTGCTGGCCATATGACCATGACCCTGGCCTGTGATTACAAGTGGAAGCAGGAGCTTAGGTTTGGCTGTGGTCTGTGATCTTTGTCACTGCGGCCATATGACACTCAAAAAAGATTTCATTAGTGCCTGGAGAAATCTTCCTCCCAGGCCCTTTTCTATCCTAAGAGTGAGTAGTTTTAATTGCATTTGATCACGTTTTGCAATGAAGCCAATGTCATCTTACTGTTTTCTTATCTTCCTGCTACTCTGAGACTGTATTTATGCATGCATCCTGCACCTCGTGGGTGTGAAATGGTTACATGCACGACTCTGTGCGGGGGAGGAGGATGAGGTTTGATGGCATCATGAGGGAAGTGTCACGGCCTCCGTATTTGTGCACAACAGAGAATGTATTTTCAGCTCACGCCCCATCTGCAAGTTACTTTTCTAGGCAAAAAGAGCAGAATTTACCCACCCACTTCTTATTACTGCAGTGTGACCAGAACACAGAGGTAGCTAGAGCAAGCCAGAGCTTTGGATCACAGCAGTTGGCTTTCAAATTTCAGGGAGTGGAAGAAGAACTTGGGAGGTAGGTTAAAATGCAGGTGCCTGAGCCACCTCTTTGGAGATTCTGATTTGGTAGATCTGACTAGAGACTAGGTGATTACATTTTTTTAACACCCTCTTCAGGCCATTTCAGTCCATGGGCCAGCCACACTTTGAGAATCACTGGGTTAGAAAAATGAGTCAAAGTCAGATAGCTGTGGGACCCTGTACACAGAGAGAAAAGCCTTTTTGGGATAATATTTAATTATCAGCTGGTGAATATAAACCTGTAAAGCAAAACAATGATACAACACAGTTGATAAAGCCTTACAGTTAGGGTGGATATATGCCTGTTTTGTCTGGGTTCATGGTTGATGTATTAATAGATCAACCAATAGCTGTTTATTATTTATTTTTTAACCTCTTTTCTTTTTAGAAAGGTGTACGATTGGATAATAAATTATGTAATTACCCTACATAAAGTGAACTTTGAACAAACTTTGTGAAGAAAAGAAACACTATTTCCTGCAAACTTAAGTTCTGAGATGAGTTAATCATCTCCCCAGCGTCCTTGGAATCTGAAGGTTGGAGAACTAAGCACATCAAGTTCGCTGATTTCTCCTCTCTAACGTCCCCAGCTAAGAGATAAACTCAGGAAGGTTAAAAGGCCCCTGATTTCACTGAGGTTTCTGTGGCATAAATGATTCAAAAAGGCCATCGGCATGTTTCCAGAAGTGTAACAATCATATTAAAATTGTGGCTTACTCTTAATAAATTCAAATCTGTTTACATCCAACTTACTACATGTGGCCACAGAAAAGCTCCACTTATTCTAATCTCAACAATTTTCTCTCTTGTTCAACATTCAGATTTTATTTCCACAAACCCAGAACTGCATTCTACATTTGAGGATGTCATTTAAGGCCAAGAAAGTCCAATAAAAAAGCATTTATCAGCAGTAAAGTTTGTTTGAGGATTACCCACTGCGAATAAAGCCAAGCTCCCCTTTTAAACTGAAGCATGCTATTTCAGGAATGTGACCCCTTTCATGAATAAATGACATAGTGACATTTACAGATAAAGCAAGATTTAACTGCTATGAAAGGAGGTGACAAATGTCAGGATGTCAATAATGATCCGTGAACATAATGGTTTCTTGCCTGAGTGTTGAGCAGATACATAATGTAACTGCTGCCTGACAGAGTTCTGCAGAGAATGAGCCCTGAGCTCTGGGAGAAGTCAAGAAGGCTCCCAGTACTATGACAGTCATAAGTCTGGGGTGGCCAGTGTCTGAGGAGGGTCTAAGTACAATCTGGCCAGTACGTTAACTCCTTCTCATTGCTAGCATGTCTGTGTGCCAGGAAAGATGAAGTTTTTCTACCATGTATCATTAAATTTTGTCAGAGTAGAATTTAGACGTTGTGAAAATAGCTTTTTGGTCATGCTTTCATTTTCCAGAAGAACCAAGAAATTAGACAAAAAGTCAGGAGAAAGTCCGTGTTGTCACTATCACAGTGAGGCCAAGGTCATGGTCGGAGCCTGATCAGGTGGTGCAGCATAGATACACCCATTGAGGTCATCTTCCCCTCTGGCTTGAGGCTAGCCAGCTGTCCCAACGCGTGTGTCTGAAGTCACAGAGTGCACTAGTGAGAGAGTGCAGATGGCTCATCTGGACCCAGTCCACACCAACGAGACCTTTTCCTCTGGGCCATGTCTCCTGCCTTGCATTCAGGGCATTCTTCCCTCCAGCTTCTGCACCTCCAGCTTTGAGTCTGCTTTCTGTTTTCTTTGGCTGGCTTTTTCTCTCCCCCTTTAAAATGAGATGTCCTTTGGGAGTGGTAAAAATGTCTAATAACCAGCTTGTGAAGAACCATCCCCAATTAGTTTGCAGTTTTCCGTTATGTAAATACTGCCGTACCCCCACAGCTGATTTTCAGTGACTTTTTCATATGAAGTCACTGAACACTGAGTTGGGAAGAGATACACACAAATGGCCCCAGCTTTGGGATTGCACAGCAACTTTGGGGGTCCTCTTTGCTTTTCCATAGTCACTTCCTGGCTCATTGACCACTCTAGTCCTCCAGATGAACTTATGATTTCCATGCTAGGAAGCCTGAGTGTGCATTTCTGAGCCTGATGTCTCTGCAAATCCAGCCCCATGTACCTAGTTCAGAGGACAGCTTCCTTCACTTTCAATTCTGCAATTTCCCTGCCTGAACCCACTTCAACTCTCAACTCCTAAGGCATGGTCAGCCCTGACCCTTCTCCCTCTGTGACACTTTCTGGGTCTGGCTCATGGTCTCCACACGCATGATAAGCACTCCCTATACCCATCCCTGGGTCTGGACAATGTTTTCTTTTCTTGTAAAGCACTAAAACTCCTGTGTGTTTGGCCAGTATCTCATTCAACAGTGAGAAATGGAAGCAGAGGCTCTGAGGGGCGAATTGACTTGCCTGAGGCCTTATGATGTGTCAGACCCACATTGTGACTAGAACCCAAGTTTCTCAATTTTCAGTGCCCTGGGCTTTTTCCCAGTAGCCTCCTATCTTTCACTACTCCCCAAGTCCCCAACCTAGCTAAAGCCTCTATATCCTCAGCTCCTCCTCCGCCATCCAGGTCCTCTCCCCACTGTGATGCCCTCACCATCCTCCAAGTTCCTGTGGAGTGCTTCACTGGGGGTGGGAGATAGAAGCTGTTGACAACTGCCCTTGTGGGGCCTCTAGTACCCCATCATGGCACATTTTGCTCACCTTTGTTTTTCAGCCTCTCGGTACAAGGGTAATTTTCTTGACAAATACCATGGTCCTGTCCCCTGTGGCTACCAGAAAAGCCATGAACTTTAAGAACAAGAGCAGGTCAGGAGATGGAGCTATTGTAGTCAGCACTGACGAGCCACCAGCCTCCACCAGCAGCAATGAGCAAGGCTCTGGGTGTGGGCCTTGGTTGGGGGGTGTTTTCTCCATATGGGGACGTTTCTCTAAGACAAACAAAGGAACACCATTCCTCCATCTTTCTGTACTGCACAGGTTTGAATTATGTGCTCTGCCTCAAGTGTGAGAAGCCCCGTGCATGGTTGCACTATGAGGTGGAGGGAGAAAGTATAGTGCCAGTGCTGTAGGGCCAGGTGGGTGAGGAGGGACGTGATGGGTCCTCTCTAGCCAGAGGCCTTCCCAGGCCCCTCAGCTGGGCTAGTTCTGTCTGAGCAACAGGAGTCAGGCCAGGCAAGGGAGACGTTTCTATTGCTTGGGAGAGTTAGGGATGAGTTTGTGGCTGAAGGAGGATGGGAGAAGAGCTTTGAAAGATGAGCAGCATTTGTTATGGAAAGGACGAAGAGTTGACCGGACACCTGGGAGAGGAAGACTATGGTTAAGAAGAGGTTCAGGCTGGGCACGGTGGCTCACACCTGTAATCCCAGCCATTTGGGAGGCCCAGGCGGGTGGATCACTTGAGCTCAGGAGTTTGAGACCAGCCTGACCAACCTGGTGAAACGCTGTTTCTACTAAAAATACAAAAATTAGCTGGGCATGGTGGCACATGCCTGTAATCCCAGCTACTCGGGAGGCTGAGGCAGAAGAATCACTTGAATCGCTTGAGTCCGGGAGGCGGAGGCTGCCATGAGCCGATATCGCATCATTGCACCCCAGCCTGGACAACAGAGTGAGACTCCATCTCAAAAAAAAAAAAAAAAAGAAAAACAGAAAAACAGAAGAGGTTCAAAGGAGGAAAGGAACAGGTCTCCCCTCTCAAATCCATCTGCCATCTTCTTGCTGCTGCCAACAGAGTCCAGGCTGGGGAAGCGTATCCCAAGGAGAGAGGACACAGGAACCGTCACTCTTCTCAATCACATGTAAATGACTTCACACCTTTTCCTAAAGGGGGCAGACAGGGATCCTCTGCAGGTCCTCCTGCTCCCTAAGGGAGCTGTACAGTAAGGAGGACCGAGGTCATGAGGTCAGGGTTGCTGGTGAGCACCCCACTGCCACGTGTGCAGTGTGCAGACTGTGCCCTCTGGCCACGAAGTGGCCTCTGACTTGGCCATTCTGAGAGGTCGGCGGCTGCTAAGGGTAGCATGGGTGCAGGCTGGGGGCCCTGCACCTCCTTAGCAGGCTCAGAGGCAATTAGGAGCCTGACTGACATTTTTTTTTTCTCAATACAAACTCACTTCCATCCTGCTTTACTCGTACAAGCTGACAATATTTCAACTCCAGGTAGGAGACTCACGATGCTGTCATAAAGTACATGTGGAGAAGAACTGTGAGGTAAATGCATTTCACTGGAAGTCAATTTTGTCTGGAAGTTTCCTTGTGGTTGGAAGTTTCTTTGAAAACTTGGTGATTATTAAGATGTCAGTGACAGGAAGATATTTGCCGCTGCCTCCCTGCTCCTGGCTGCGTCTGCTCTGACAGTTCTCCTCCTTGAGCCTCTGCACAGAGCAGGGCAGACACTAAAGGGTGGTGGGTGGCAAAGAAAGGTCACTGAGCCTGGGCACTGCGATGCTTGGGGTGCAAAGACCCTGCCAGGTTTTTCTCCCCTTCCACGTGTGGCAGATCCCAGACAAATATGCAGCCAAAAAATGTCACAAACACACGCAGGTGTTCAATGATCTTGGGGTGGCTGTAGAACCTATCTTTGAAGGGGCATTAGTAAGCCCTTTGGTCACACAAAAGCAGGAGAGAAGAACAGGGTGATGAAAGAGGACCTCAAACTGCCCTTCCTGATGATGGAAGGGTTGTCTGCCCTCCCTGTGGCCAGAGCAAAAGCTCTGGGAGGGTTACTTTGAGCTTAACCATTTTTGCTTGGGCTCCCTAGAGTTGTGGATGACAGGATATGAGACTCTGGACCTGTGGAGAAAGGGAGGAGAGAACTCCGGAGAACTGCCCTCTGGGAGTGCCCAGCAGCTTGTTGGGGCATGAGGGTGTATTCCTGAGTGCAGGAGTCAGGGGCGCTGCTGCCTGAAGGGATCTGCTCCCCACCGTGGGATTGCATTGCTGACTGGCACTGGAAGCAGTGTGTTCCGATATTCACCTTGGAGGCCTTCCTTCTCAGCATTGTCTCCTCTTGGTTTATCCTCAGAGGACATGAAGTTCTACATTTCACAGCTAAGTGCCAGGCTTATGTAGGGACTAAAAGGTGAGAGGGTGCCCACATGTTGGGAGAAGCTAAGCAGAAGCATGGGGCACAGGAGGGACCTTACAAATGAGAGGTCGGCAGGGAAGGGCTCCAAGCACTGCTCTGAAACCAGCAGGGAAGAGCTGCCCCTGGGGGACCTGAGCACATGCCTTTCCTGGGCTCACAGCAGTCCTAACAAAGGGGAATCTGTAGTCCTAACAGAGGGGAACCTTCTGGGAGTCATGGTCTTTCTACAGCCACAGAAGAGGTCCTCAATTATTTTTATCTGCATAGAGAAGACTGTGGTGATCCTGGAAGACAGGAAAATTAGGAATACTTGCATTTCCCTACATATCTCTCATTAAGCACTCTATGTATTCACTCATAGACACCTGTTGAACATTACTTTGGGTCAGGCTCTGTCAAGGGTGTGGAGGAGAAAAAGACCGAGTGTCTGTCCTTAATAATCTTCCTCTGGCTATTGCTGGATGATGATGATGATGATGATGACGATGATGGCAACGATGACTATTACAGCAGAGTCTTTCATGACAGGAAGTTCGCAGCCTTTAAGGGGGATGCTGGCTCTGCCCAGAACTGGCGTAGCTCCTGCATGAACTTTGGCTTGGACTGCTGTCCCTGGAGTCAGCTGTCGGCTGTGGCGTCCTTATGAGAAACAATAGGAATCTCAGGAGCAAGGAGAAGCACTCACCCTTATTCTGCTGAAATAATCCTATTCTGAAAACTCCCCAGAGTCAAGAGCAATATGCATCTAAGTTAGAGTTGGAATTTTGAAGATGAAGTCAAGTTTCCGTCCAGGTCATGCATCTTGAAATTTCATGTCTCTCTCTTTATATTCTTTATCCTGTCATCAGGGTGCCTGGTCCACTGGACTGTAGTTTTCTGGAGGACAGAAACTGTCTCCAGGGAGCTGAGCATGGGTCTGAGTACCTGGCACGCCCTATCTCGGCTGAATTGAACACGGGGCACAGCACCTACTTCAGAGGGATTTCCTGTTTTCTGCCAGGCAGCTTGAAATTAGCAGCCATGGGTGGTCATGGTCTCCTTGAGCAGGGGTTTCTGGTTGGCAGCCTCAGCCTTCTCCTCTGTGCCCTTTAATCCCTGCCTTTGGGCCTCCTTGATTCTCCCACCTGGAGACAACAGGGCCCACATTTCCCTCTCTGAATCCTGTGTTCCAGAAGGACTCTGGTGTTAGAGAATGGTCCACCTGCTTCAGCAGCCGGGAGCTGTGTTCTCAGCTTGACTGCTCCAGGGGGAAAAATGATATTTCCTGGCAGTCAAGTTCTCTGCTGTAGCCTGTGCCTCTGAAAGATTTATTATTTGGTCAGGCTGCTCCAAACCTTCACTCTGCTGGGTATCTTCCTGATGGAGCTCCCTGGGGCCAGTGCCCAGAGGGAGTCCTGGGGCCACTGCTGCACAGAATGTGAGCCAGAGTAGTGGGCATCACTGATTTTCCTGATCCAACTATGGCCTGGAAAGGCTGCGGGAGACAGAGGCTCTCCATCTCAGAGCTTTGTCCATTGAAATGCTAGTGTTCTGATGATCCAGACAGCATGGGAAGAGTTAGGACCAACTGGAGTTTTACTGGATGTGTCAATGAAAGTAAATGTGGCATGTATTTAGAAGAAGTGTGCACGCATGTGTGAGCGTGTGTGCCTGTGTCTGTGTGTAGATCTGTGCAAGTATGGGTCTGTATGAAAACACCCCCAAAGATTAGTATTTTAATATGTAAATCTGGAAGAAAACACTGAGCTACAGCTTTAGTTGAAATATTTTCTTAACTACTGTACTGTAATGAGGAAAGTACTTGACAAAAGAATAAAACATGAAGTCCAGTTTCCTTTTGACAGGTCCATCGCCGCACCCCAAAGTCTGCTTCCCATCCTGTCTCACTGCCCTGGGCACCCACGTTCACACGTGCTGAGCCACAGGCAGATGGGGCGTGGCTGGCTCCTCGGGGCCCGCGCAGGCCCAGGGGGCAGCAGCTGTGCCTTTGCTCCGCTCCACTTAGCTCTACAATTAGGAGAACTGCTCTCCGTGACTTTTAAACTTTGAGGGTGAAGGGCATGATGCCAATTTTCGGGTGTGGCATTTCTGTGAATGAGCAGGAGACAGTTGGGGAGCTATAAACGTGCATATTACGAAGCAGCATGGAGCAGCCGGGTCTCAAAGGCTGATGTTTTTCTCATATCCCACGGTTTTATGGCTCCATACCTTTAAATATTCATTTCCATTGCTCTACACGAGGACATAAAGTCAGACTGTGCTCTCACAAGTCCTGGTAGGTGCCCATCTCTGCAGTCCTTACAGTGGCTTCCTTAGGAGAGCTGGGCAGAGTCTTATCATCCCCCAACTCTGCAGAAAGAGGGACAACTCCAAGCCGAAAGAGCTGGCCTGGCAGCCCCTCGGAGGGTGACACAATCGAGTCAGCCTGCCAGTGTCCTCTGCTAAGGGTCACCTCTACATACTCTTCTCCTTATTCTTCTGCTATCAGACCTGGTTAATGCATTCTATGTATACGTCTGTGGGTAACTCATAAGGGAAGAATTAGACACCCCTCTATGTTTACAAACCCAGTTCTTGCCACAGCTTCTGAAATATCCTGGATGTTCAACTACTATTTGTTGAACTAATGAATGATTCTCCTTTTTGGTGACTTATATGTTCTTCAGTGACTGGAGCTTTCACATATACACAATATCAGGTTGTGAATAAAATATGCAATGGGAAGACACAGGAAGCTACACTGTCAGGTGAAGTTACCAAGTTATTTGTTCACTTCTTCACTCACTTCCAGTCCCCAGAGCCTGGCTTTCTTCCTCGACATGAGGCCTGCAGCTTAGAGGTTAACAGAGGCCAGACCAGTCACAGGCTCCTGAGCTTCAGCTGCAGTTAAGGATTCTGTTCAAGCGTGTGGTCCTCTGCTAGCCGAAACTCTTTGGCTGAAGAGAATGCCTTGGCTGCAGCAATTGCTTGTAATTTATAACAGACGGGCACAAGCAGAATGCTCCCATTTCTTCGAACTTGGACATATTATAAAATAGCTGATCAGGCTGCATTGTTTTAGGTCTATACACAGCCACTGTTCCTGGACAGTTATAGAGTTATCAGGAAATCTGCTCCTGGCGGGGAGGACCCTGGACAAACATTGAACTCAACCATTTTATGACTGTGTGTTTGATTTTCTTAGAATGACACCCTTGCACACTTCATCTAAGGCCAAACTAGTGAAAGGTAGCCATTGAATGAGAAAGGAGGCTCAGATTCAGAGTCATAAAATGTTGAAATGTGTTGTTATACTATATAATGATAGAACACCTGTCTGCCCCAGCATTTCATAGACATTTACAATCTCCTGCATATATTGTATTTCTTTAAAAGACCTGGATACACCACACTGAATGAACAAATTGTCCCCACCCTTGTGCTGCTGGTTTGATTATAAGAATGTTAATGACATGGGGTAGCGGCAGGAATGTGACCAACAGGCCCCATGTACTGGTATTTCTCATGAAGCATGAAGCTACAGCCGCCAAACCCACACCTGGCTCCTCAACCTCACGTTACCTTGCAACCTATGACTTAAAGGGATCACTTCTCCTTCCACATACTTCTATGCAGCTTTGTGTTGTCAGTGTTGCCACTGACACCAACTGTATGACCAGAACTCCTAAATCACAGGTTACAAAACTCTTCCCCATCCACCAGTGACCTTGAGCTTCACACCACTCCTGTGAGGTAGATCAGGTGCCTATTGCCCTCTATTTTTACAGATCTAAGAAATAAGACTCAGCGAGATGAAGTGACTTAGAACCATCTCATTGATTGGAGAGTGGGCTGACACCAGAACTCAGGACTTCTGAATTCTAATCCCATGCTGTCTACACTGCCACCCTAGGGTACATGCTGCCACCCTAATCCAAGAAGTGTCTTTCGGAAAAGGAAGGTCAGGTTCTCCCTACAAGTGCTTGACTTTAACAAGTTCTTTCGGTGATCATCTTCAGAGTGTCTTCAGCCAACACTGGTTTTAACCCTGAGCGCTCTCATTTCCAGCCTCTCCCCTCCATTTCTGAGTGCTGACCTGATGCCATTCCAGAACTGCAAATGAAGCTATTCCTGATGCCTCCTTCTGCTTTCTGCCTTTCTATGTATTCTTTAAGAAGACTCGAAGTATGTGGGCCTGGGTGACGAGAGAGTGTGGGTTGTTCTTGCTGGCCCCTCCTTGGAGAGAGATTATAGGACAGAGCATAGGTGAGCGCAGCTATGCAAGTTGCACAGCAGGGACTTAATAAGGTTAGTTACATTACAACTTCAGAATCAGAACAGTGATCTAAGGTGGAGAATGGGCTAAATGGTGAGTTAAGGACATTTGCCTTTGGGGTCTCCTCTTTCTTCTGGCAATTCTTCCAACACCTCTTTTCATCTTCAGAGGATTTGTGCTTTTCCAAACATGTTCTCAGAAAAGGCATGAAATTCACCCATTCCGTTTTAAAGACTGGTGCTTTAAGGCAGACTTGAAGGATGGGGAGAAGTACAGCCCAGAGGAAGGGAGAAAGCTCTGGGGACAGGATTTCTGACATTGGCCAGCACATGGACCAAGGATCAAGAGAGGAGAATGGATTTTTTTTTATTATATTTTATTTTTTTATTTTTTGGGATGGAGTCGCGCTCTATCACCCAGGCCGGAGTGCAGTGGTGCAATCTCGGCTCACTGCAACCTTGGCCTCTAAGGTTCAAGCGATTCTCCTGCCTCAGCCTCCCAAGTAGCTGGGATTATAGGCATGTGCCACCATGCCTAACTAATTTTTGTATTTTTAGTAGAGGTGGGGTTTCACCATGTTGACCAAGCTGGTCTGAAACTCCTGAGCTCAGGTGATCCACCTGCCTTGGCCTCTCAAAGTGCTAGGATTACAGGCGTGAGCCACCATGCCTGGACAGGAACGGATCTTTAGATGGCCACCTCAGGGTCAGCTGCCCAGGGGATGCTGCTCTGGGAGGGGTGAATAAATTTATCCTGCCAAGGCTGGGGGTCTGGCACTTGGAAAAGATTTAAGACGCTGCAGCATTGCACCGGTAAGCTGTGCTTTCCACTCAGTTCTGGGTATATCACAATTCCTTTCCTTCCAGACTCAACTGAATTAATTAGGAAAGGGAAAGAGCCCCAGTGACTTGTGCTCTGACAAGCCCTTGGTCTCTTTGAGCTCTGGTGACAGGCAGCCAGACTTCAAGGCCCCCATGCCCTCCTCCTTTTACCCTGCCTGTCAAGAGAAGCTGCTGAGGAGTGGTGCTGGGGCTGGAGGGAGGGCGGCCAGGGAGCAGGTCTCCCTGACATTTGTCCTTCCCTCACTGCCGACAGCCAACTCCAGATCAGCTCTGTACCCTGCTGCCACAGCCCCCGGACCTCTCACACCAGGGAGACAGCTCGCCTCTAAATTTAGCAGGAAGAGGGGAAGGGGAGGTCAGTGTGTCCAGGGTGAGGGCTGAAGGTGGAAATGGAATAAAAGAGACAGTGGACAAGCGGGGGCCATGAGAGAGAGGGGAGAGAGGGGAGGGATTTCTAGTTAGAAGTAGCTGTGACAGATTGAGAGAGGAGAGTATTTTAAAGAGTTTGTAAAATGTAGAGTGTGACTCTTTCACTGTTAGTACCAGGGAGCATTACTAATGTGTCCTAATGGAACAGTCAGTTTGCATTTGTGAGGAGGTTGAATTAGAGCTCTCTTTTAATGCAGCAGGAGCCTGTTTGAGCAACTGAAGCTACTGTAACTGGAAGAGGACCAAGGGCATTGCCATTTCTGTCCAGTAGAAAGCAAGGCGGTAGACGGGGTGCTTATTAAACACGTACTATACGTCCTGACTGGAATTGGCATGTTCTCTTACTTAGCTCACTTAATCCTTACAACAGTTTGGTGGGATAGCTTTCAGGATGATTTTCTTTTTTTGAATTATGGATTAAGCTGAGGCTTGATTTGTAGACTTTAAGTGACAAGTCTAGGATTCGGCTAGATCTGTCTGATCTTAAACCCGTGCACTTTCCACTCCTGTAATAAATGAATATGAATACCCTGAAATCCTCCTACCAGAATGCGAGTCTATGGTTCTAACCTCTTCCTTCAAAAAAAGTCACACTTCTTATATTCCTTTTAATGGACATGACAATGATTTGTCTTTTTAATTCCCTGGCAATTTTTGTTCCATACTTTCTTGACTTCGGAAACCATTCCGTCTTGAAGGGAGCTCAGATGAGTTTCAGAAAGTTTTGGTCACCAGGACAGAGCCGAAATGTTGGATCGAAGCCCCTGTGAGCTGGTCAGAGCTATGATGGCTGATGTCTTCGATTACCAAGGCAGGCCTACATGCGTTTTCTCAAAAGGGCACCTTTGGGAGGGAGAAGCATTTGGATGGAAACATGTCCCTAACCAGATAGGAGCACCACGTCCAGCAAGGAAACAACAGCAACATGGAAACAACCTTTGAATTCTCCAATTCTCCAAGGAAGCTTTTTTTTTTTCCATTAAAAACCCAGCTAAATGACAACATTGAGATTATTCTGCAGTATATTTATTTGTGATTGTGCTATTACCACCTGTTGCTAGGCAACCAAGAGTTTAAGCAGTTATCAGTGAGAGGTTAACGTTCCCAGGTCCTACCTCTGGCTCTGCTGGCA
This sequence comes from Homo sapiens, assembly GCF_000001405.40. Taxonomy (NCBI): domain Eukaryota; kingdom Metazoa; phylum Chordata; class Mammalia; order Primates; family Hominidae; genus Homo; species Homo sapiens. Next base: position 21,281,027 of record NC_000002.12, read on the forward strand.
TTGACCTGGGACTTGGTGCTTGGCAAGAGATGTTCATCTCCCCTAGGCTTCATTCCAGAAATGTGCCTAGGAGATGATAGGCACGTCCACACATGTTTCCCTTGACCAAACAGGCAGATGAACGAATGAAGGAAGGAATATCTTTAAAGGAGCTTACTTTTTTTGAGATAACCTCCCAATGAATTCTGGAAGTAGTTTTTTAAAGTGGAGCAGGCCTCTGAAAGGCATGTGAGTGTGAGTGAGCGTGTGCGTGTGTGTTTGTGAGTGTGAGTGTGTGTGTGTGTATGTACTGTCATATGCTGCATAATACTGTTTTGGTCAATCAGAAATCATCTATATGATGGTTGTCCCATAAGATTATAATACCACATTTGTACTGTGCATTTTCTATGTAGGTATGTTTAGATACACCAATACTTACCATTGTGTTACAACTGCCTATGGTATGCAGTGGTCACATGCTGTACTGGTTTGTTGCATAGGACCAATAGACTACACCATACAGCCTAGGTGTATAGTAGGCTACACCATGTGACTTTGTGTAAGTATACTCTGTGATGCTTGCATAGCAATGAAATTACATAATGATGCATTTCTTGGAACATATCCTTGTAGTTAAGTAGGCATGACTGTATGTGTGTGTATGTGTTTGTTATGTATATGTGCATATGTATGATGCATGTGTGTACATGTGTGCATGTGTGTATGTATATGTGTGTGTGTGTGTGTGTGTGTGTGTGTGTGCTCCTGTGTGTTTGGAGGAGGAGAGACAGGGGAAAGATGAGGTCATGAGCAGTGGAGAAAGGGAAGGTTGGAGGGCTTTGGGGCTCTGTTGACTACGTATGCTGCCATGCATGTCACCCTGCAGGTCTAGAGCCTGGTCCCTCCGTCCCAGTATCATGCTTTTTCTGCATGTTATGATCACTGTTGTTGCCTCCAGTGCCCAGGGCTGACTGGAAAGGTGAGTTGTCTGCTCTCTGTCTGGCCTGGCCAGGCTGGCTTCTCCCGCCTCGCCTGGTAGATGGGGGTGCTGACCTCCAGAGTGCCGGGAGCATAGGATTCCCTGCTCTGAGCACAGATGCAACCAAGTGAGCAGTGCAGGCCTGTTTGTTGTACAGAAAATGACTGCTGCATTATGAAACACAGTTCATTTCTAGCTAACGTGTATTGTTTCCCCTGCAGCTCTTTTTATGTTAAAGCCTGTCTCTCCCAGTGTTATCTGATGGTTTCCTAGGAGATGCCCTCCCCGGCCAAGCTCTCGCTGATGCTGGAGTTGGATATTATCTATAAGCACTAAATATCTGCTTTGTTCACTCAGTGCTGCTGCTTTGCTCTTTTTCCCTAGGCTGGTGGCTAGTTTCTTGCCAGCATCCCTCATGGCTGTGCAGAGATTGGGAAAGGCTATATCTGCCTTCCCACATCTTCCACAGCTATGGAGATGGGCTCCCAGTCCTCTCTGATGGATTTTACTTACTAGTAATTTCACATTTCAAGCTAATATTAAGACCTTTTTAGTCACTGGTGGATTTTTGAAATAGAGACAAATTTGAGACACAGCAACATTGCCAGTATTCGCATGATGAACAGAGACCCCTTTCTCAGAAGGATAAGTTAAGTAATTTTTTTCTCTTTATACCTCAGCTTCTGTATCTGTAAAATGGAGCCTCTGCAGTAATATCACCATGAACAGTTGCTGCAAACTTCAAGTAGGAGCTTTACTTCCTCTTTCTTATTCTTCTTTGACAGAAAGGTCCAAATATAGCTCCAGGCTGGCTTTTCACAATGTGATGAGAAGACGGCATTCCTGAAGTTTGAGGGAGGCTGCTGTCACCATGGGAAGGGGGTTTGACAACTTGGGCAGTAGCCACACAAAGATACAATTCCTAATCTGTCAAAATTGCTTTTTCTTAGAAGCTCTGATTATATTAACACATTCTCTATCTGATCTGATGGTGTCTCTTTGAAATTTTCTCCTTACAACTGTAATCAAAATCAATCCAATTATATTTAAAAAGTAGGCATATATATTACTTCTGGAACTAAATTTAAAGGTAAATCACATATATCATGGTTTAGCCATAGATATCTGAAATGAGAAGTGGTGGAAGAGGACAAGTAGGAATTAAAAAAAACAAGAACTGTTAGAAGATACTGCGGTATCAAGTCTCTAAGTATAAAATCACAGTTCAACTGTTCTCCTTTATGGTACAAGAAGAAGATATAAAAGAAAGATAATAGACCATTATTTAAGGGAAGTAAATAATCCCAAGAGACTGGATAAGTTAGTATTTATGCCAAAGAAAACTTTCCCCCTGTCTCTTCTTTTCCCCAACCCTCAGCCCTGTCTCAGCTGGAGATCCGTGGAGGGACAGTGTGTTTTATTGAGTTAATGGCAGAGTCTCCTGAAAATGGAATGAGCACAAGTGCTTAACACATAACAGAGGCTGTGCCTACACTGCAGCTGTTTGCAAATAGAATTATGCCACCTCTGCTCTGACAACTTCATGTGTCCGTCCCGTAGCCATTGATCTTTGTCTCTGGATGGACCAACTCTGTGGACAAAGTTTAAGATGACAGAGTAGAACATCATGAGTAGCAAGCTGAGCCCAATTCTCATGCCCCAGACTCAACTTCACAAGGTGCTACCATGACACGTCACCCAGGCCATCCTCAAATTTCTAGAACCTTCTAGCCATTGAGAAAGACCTGAAACTGGGGCCTTGGGAGTACCATTCAAAGAGGTGGCATTCAAACGTGTTAGATTGAGACTCTAAGTAAGAAATATATTTGATAGTGACATCTAGTACACATATACATATATAGATGTACATGCATGTCTATAAAAATGAAACATTTCATAAAACAATCACCTCACTATGTAGGATGTACTAGGATATTTTTTATTCTATTCCATTTCATTCCATTACAGATAATTAATTATCACTCTGTAATTAATTTCACTACTCTGACACAAATCTAGAACCAGGGTTGGGGTAGACAAGAGACTCCTTTGGACAAGTCTTCCAGATTGTCTTCTACCTGCAGACCTGAAAGGGACTCATGGAGCCTCTTGTAGCAGCCCCTACCATATTTGAATGACATCTGATAAATATTTTAAACAATAAAACAAAACAGGGCATTTAAAAATTGTTATGGATTGTCATTTTGCTTCAGTGTAATATGAATAAAATACAAGTTATTTTGAACTGAACTTTAATACTATAATTATTAATTTGGTTAGAAGTCAGTTGTTGTCTTTAAATTTATTTTGGAAGATGGATAGAAGTAACAGATATCAGCCAGGCACAGTAGCTCACGCCTGTAATCCCAGCGCTTTGGGAGGCTGAGGCAGGCGGATCACGAGGTCAGGAGTTTGAGACCAGCCTGGCCAACATGGTGAAACCCCGTCTCTACTAAAAATACCAAAAATTAGTCGGGCGTGGTGGCAGGTGCCTGTAATCCCAACTACCTGGGAGGCTGAGGCAGGAGAATCGCTTGAACCCAGGAGATGGAGGTTGTGGTGAGCTGAGATCGTGCCACTGCACTCCAGCCTGGAGACAGAGCAAGATTCTGTCTCAAAAAAAAAAAAAAAAAAAGAAGTAACATGTATCAATATTTATTGAAGCCTTGTATGTGCCCACTATATTACACATGTTATCTTATTTAATCCTCAGGTTCACCCTAAAAGAAATATATTATTTTCATTATTTTACAGATAAGGGAAACTGAGGTACAGAGGAGGGGAAGAGCCATGATTGACTTCATGCAACTCATCAGGGAGGGCACCCAGATTTACACGTGGATCTGTGTCACTACAAAGCAGTGCCCTTGACTTAACACTCCATCACTTTCCATACAAGCTTCAAACTGAACTCCACCTTCATTAGCTTGGTGAGCGCAGACCGCTGAACTCTTCTAACATCTGTCTTAGAGGTTATGTGTTGGCTGCTGCGTTCAGAGCTATCCTAAAAGTAACTGAAACAAGGGATTTTTGACTCCATGGCTAAACAGTTTCTGGGGAGCAGACCTTGATTCTACCATTACTTAGAAAACAAATCAAATTAGAGTCAGACTAGTGATGTTGTCAGAACTTTTCAAACATAAAGACCCATGAATGGACATGTACACTTGGGATCAAAAGCACTCTCCTCTTCCAAACAGCAGTCTACACTTGGCCTTTTGAGAGGCTGAGCTATTGCCAAGGACTATTTAGATGGAAGATTTGATTGTTGGTCAAGGAGACACTGAAGAAGAGATAAGATGGTGTACTGGAATGGAAGGAAGGCTCTGGACATCAGAACTTTGGGCCACTGTACTGCTGTGTAAATTTGCGAAACCTACTTAATCCTTATGGACTGTTTCCTCATCTGGAAAATGAGTTAAATGAGATCCATTTTATAAAATTGTTGTAATGATTATATAAGTAAACACATAGTAATATTATTTGATTTTATTATTATTATTATGACTTGTCACTCAAAGCATTTAGCTTTGGTGTCTCTAATATTCAGTACTCACATTTATGTTCAAATTTGGATGCTAGGTAGAAATGAAGACTTTGTATCTGCCACCAGAGAAGGCTATTTATTATTTGTCATTGCCTGTCACGAACTCACAAAGATAGTATTTGCCTATCCAAAGGTATCTAATTCCTCAGTTTCTTATGTGACTATAAAGGGGCCTACTTTGATCTTACCATGAACTCAAATCCTTTCGAAATTTCAATTTGTCAGTTTTGATATTTGCTTCTCTCTCTTTTCTACTCCTCTTATCCAGGAAAGGAGGCACATTGTAGTTTTTGACTTAATAATGGGACCTATATTAATAGTAAAGAAAGTTCAGAAGCCAAGAGAAAACCTGTGAAATGATAAAAAAAGGTAGATGGATATATTTTTTTAAAATGTTCTGCCAAACACCTTTGAATTGGCACCATTGGGAATACCTTTCAACATGTAGGTTTAAGAAAACATTTAGCTTTATAAAGCCGCAGAGAAAATCTTGTGATAAAATTAGTCAGAGTTGAGTAGAAATGGATTAAAGAAGGAACCAAAGAATTTAACTCATCAGCGAGAGGGGATAAAACCAGGTCCTCGACCTGGAATTCCCACAGGGTCAGGGCTCTCCCCAGTGTTTTTTCACTGCTGGTTCCACAGATGACAGAGGGGATGGGTGGAGAGATATGTTATCCTAGACTGGTCACTTGTGCAAGCAGACCACAATTGGGAGGAGGTCCACTAGTATTTGAGGAAAACTATTTAGAAGTGGGCATCTTCTAAATAGTTGGGAATTATTGAAAAGCATTAGCCCATTAGTTGTGAGATAGATGGAAGATCATGAATCAGAGCGATATTAGAGTTTTCCTTTATCTGGAGCTGGATAGCCCTAAAATAGCCAGGGAGGTGGTGTAGATGGCCACAGTGGATAGTGCACTGTGAGGCTTCCTGCTGGCTGTAGTTGTCCAAGGAAGATGGACCCATTATGGGCATGGGCTTCTCAAAAGGCTTGTCATGGTCAAAATGCTTCTGAGTTATTGGAAAAACAATGGTGTTCAAGGGCTGGGCCATCATTTGGATCTTTCCTTGAGGTCACTAACCCTGTAATGAAGAAGCACCTTGTCACTGGACACAATGCTGGTTCCTGGCTGCTGGGGATGTTCTAACTCTGGTGGAGAGCTAACAACAACATGAGTCACCTTACACTTACCTGCTGTGCCTTTCGCTTAAGACTGTTTCTGTCACCGGGTGTCATGGACAGCAGTTGGCTCCTAATGTGACAGGCTGGCTTCAGGGAACCAACTCTCCATTACTCTGTGCTACAGAATACATGCAGACCCAAGGAAGATGCTTGTCTGCCTGTCTGGTCCATCCAGGGCCATGACCTTCAAATACACTCTAACCCCTGAGCCCTGTCTTCCTTCCTAACATTTGCTGGTGAAAGGTCTGGCCTCAGCATCTCTCTCAAAAAAAAAATTTTTTTTTTTTTTTGTATTTTTAGTGGAGACAGGGTTTCACCGTGTTAGCCAGGATGGTCTTGATCTCCTAACTTCGTGATCCACCCGCCTCGGCCTCCCAAAGTGCTGGGATTACAGGTGTGATCCACCGCACCCTGCTGGACCTTCTTTACTTTATAAAAATAGTACTCTTGGCCGGGCGCGGTGGCTCACACCTGTAATCCCAGCACTTTGGGAGGCCGAGGCGGGTGGATCACGAAGTTAGGAGATCGAGACCATCCTGGCTAACACGGTGAAACCCCGTCTCTACTGAAAATACAAAAAAAAAAAAAAAAAGCCGGGCACGGTGGCGGGCGCCTGTAGTCCCAGCTACTCAGGAGGCTGAGGCAGGAGAATGGCATGAACCCGGGAGGCGGAGCTTGCAGTGAGCCGAGATCGCGCCACTGCACTCCACCCTGGGCGACAGAGCGAGACTCCGCCTCAAAAAAAAAAAAAAAAAAAAAAAAAGAAGGTCCGTGAACCAGGCAGACCTATATCTCAAGGGCCACCTGGATTTGGGGGAAGCTATGGGTCTTTTGAGCAGTTGGGTAGCGTGATACCATTTGTTTATTTCGTCTTAACTACGCACTTGTGAACACATCTGTCATTTGTGGAGACTCTAAGCAGGGACTTATTGTGACCACCACCTGGAAAGGTTTGGAGATTTAAGTGCCACGATTCAAGAAGAGGCAGCTCAAGTGAAAACAAACATTATGACATTTAAGAAGCAAAATGAGCATTTACTTTGGGCCAGATGTGTTACTGCATATCACAGTAATGGTCTGGTCTGTACCCACTGCCAAATGCCAGACGATGAGCTGCAGCCAGAGACAGGGCGGGCCTTGGAGGCTGGTACCTGAGTTTCTCATACCTTCCTCCTTTCTTGCCTGTAACACATTCCTCGCAGTGTGACCAACACAAAGGGGTTCTGCTGCTGTCCTTAGCTCTTTCGGCAACCCCAGTGAGCTTTCAGGCTGCGGAGCACAACTTTCCCTGTGGATTCCAACATTGCAGGTTTCTGGGAAATTCAGAGGGATGCCTCCATTCCAAGATGGTCAGTGTTTACCTTAAATTCAGCCTGATATTTAGCATAAATTTATGAGGCATGTGCTAAGTTTAAAGCACTGTTCTCAGTCATATAGAAACAGGAAAAAAAAAAAAAACAAAGACATGGATCTTGTCCTCAAGGAATAATCTCACCCTAGTGAGCTACAGAGAAACCATACACACATACCCCAAACAGTGCAGAAAGTGCAATAAATCTTACAATACAAATAGAAACTAAGTGTCATGAGAGCAGAGATGAGGAAATAAGGAATTCTGATGAAGAAAAAGGCAGTCAGAAATTGAGAAAGTCTTCTTAGGGGAGCTAGCAATTGAGCTGCGCCTTGAAGAAGAGATATCTAGATGGGCAGAGAGGAGGAGAGAGCAGGGAAAGGGGAAGGATTCCAGGAGGAGGGAACAGAGTGAACAAAGGGCTGTAGGCAGGACCCAGGAGGCAAGGCTGGAATGTGTGTGGAGTGGGAGGGGAGGGGAGGGGGAGGCATCAAAGGTGTGTTGAATAGCCTTTAAGTTTTACATGTATTCAACAAATGACAATTATTGTGTAAAACACAGGCTTAGCCACTGAGAAAGGAGGGAGGGTTACAAAACGCCCACATATCTTAAGTCTTTTGCTCTCCTTGGGGAGAACCTTGGGGCTGTTTTGGGACCATCAGTGGCCATGAGTTTTCCATTGCTTAAGTTCTCTCTGACCATCTCTCTTGCTCCTGTCTTCGTTCGTTGAACCCTGATGTGAACCATCTGACCCTTCCTAGTCCCCAATTCTTGCCTAGTTTTTGTTGACTCTGACTGACTTGTACAGTTTCTAGTTCTCTGCCTATAAATATAAGGTGACCTAATCCTTCGATGCTCTGGCCAGCCCTGAGTGGAGTTTGTCTTCATGTGAATACAGACATCTTTTGCCTTGGTAGTTCTGGCTTCTGCTGAATGTTTTCTCCCTCCAGGCACTCGCTTTGTTGTTCTGTAGGCACACAGTTTCAAGCCTGGGATGGCTTGGAGTGTTACAGATGCATCAGGAAAGAAAAAAAAAAAAGACCAAAAAAAAAAAAAGAAATAAAACCCCAAAAAACGACTAAAAGAGTTCCAACTTCAATGAGTAATGAAGTTGCATGAATCCTAACTTGTGGTTCCAAAGCATTTCCATAAGCCTCTTGATTTCCAAATGAGAAAATCATGATAAGCAGTTAATTAGCTCTTTAAGCAAAGGCGAGTCACCACAGACACTGCTGTGTACTCCACGCTCTCAGGAGAGGGAGGCCACTGCCACATTCTGAAAAACATGCAGTGCAAGCATGAAAACGGAGTTCATAGAAATTCAAGTAATGTCCTTTGACTTTTCATTAAGCTGGGCATGTCCCAGTTACCCCTTGGGGACTTTCTTAATGTTATCATGGCAACATACAATTAAGTCAGATTACATTTTTTATATGCAGGGAGAGGTGCTAAGATACTATTCTAAATTATTCATCAGTTCACTTTTCACAAAACAATCCCAGATATGACTTTAAGATGTGCAATATTAAAAAAAAAAAAACCAGATAATTTCATATGGCTATATCATGTAAAGAAACCTTTCTTCCTTTCCCCAGGGAGAACAAAAGACTTAATCGAACTCCACATGTGTCACTGTGCATATCACAATTTACCGTATTACTCTGATTTATGTGGCAAATTGTGAACTCCTCGAGAATTCCCCAGGGCTGGAATATTTTGATTTCAGCATTATAAAGCCAGGGACAGCTCTGAAAAGGAGCTCAATCATTTCTTTCTCAATCATTTAATTCTCTCTCTCTGTGTTTGTGTGGGGGTAGGGGCAGGGGTGTGTGTTGACCCTTGGTAATAATAAAATAGTCATTAGGTATTTATTAAGGGGATTGATTACATATAGGCACCTTCAGAATGGCATCACACTAATGAGTCTTAAGGGTCTCCCTTAGTTTTCCGAGAAAAACTGAAAGGAGAGAGAATGAATTGGGATGCTGAGTTACACAGCTGGAGGCCAGCCCTGGTGGGGTAGGGCTTAGTGTTAGGAGACACTCTTTTACTGGTTTCTTGCACTCCTCTACATCTTGCAGAGTATGCCAAGATTACAAGGCCCTGACCACTCTTTATCTAGGCCGTTTCTCAAAATTTATTTGCAGCAAGCATCCTTGAAGGATGAGGTAATGTCTCCTCCAAGAAAGAGAGCAGGCTTTCTTACACACTGCTGTAAAGTGACGCATTCCCAGGGTTAGTATTTTTCTCTTCTGATGCATCTCACTTTGTGTGCATTCATCCAGATTCACCTGTGCTGGCCCTGAGGTAATTGGGGCTCGGTGACCGTGATGATGCTCTGGCTACTGATTTTGTTGTGAGTAAAAAACGGCTTTTTTCTCTGACTCAAGAAAGCAGCCATGAAATGGTGGCAAGTTAACTTGTTAGCTTGCAGGTAGTGTAACATCTCGAAGCTACATAGACCCTGACAATTAATGTGTAATGCTTCCAGTGGCTTCTCTTTCCCTTGCCTATTCTGAAGATAAGATTCTTCTTGCTGGAATATCCTATTTTACTATGCTCAGTTCTCAAATGCTCTTAAACCCTAGGTCTGAGTAGGAACTTTCTTTATTCTCAAGCTCTCAAAAAGAAGAGTTTATTATTGACCACTAAGAAATAAAATGCCACTCACAAATTCCTACTGTGCCAGGCTTTCTCTAACAGGGTGTACTCGATGAGACTTGACTCATAGACCCCTGTGGGCAGGCTACATAGAATATTTGATATGTGGAAAATAGTTGCTCCCTTGGTCTTATGTGTTCAATTTTTTTTTTTTTTTTGGACGGAGTTTCACTCTTGTTGCCTAGACTGGAGTGCAATGGCGCAATCTTGGCTTACCACAACCTCCGCCTTCCAGGTTCAAGCAATTCTCCTGCCTCAGCCTCCCAAGTAACTGGGATTACAAGCATGTGCTCCCATGCCTGGCTAATTTTTTTATTATTATTATTTTTATTTTTAGTAGAGATGGAGTTTCTCCATGTTGGTCAGGCTGATCTCGAACTCCCAACCTCAGGTGATCTGCCTGCCTCGGCCTCCCAAAGTGCTGGGATTACAGGCATGAGCCACCGCACCTGACCATGTGTTCAATTTGATGACACCATTATGGGCCTGGGAGAAAAAGTCCGGGTGCTTTATTTAAATATCCACTTCTGGGCGCATCCCCAAATTCAGATTCAGGGTTCCCTGGAAACCATGCCTTTGACAGTTACTTAGATGGTGGGGCCCCAGGCACTCATTTGTAGGCCCTTTTCTGTTGTTTATGGGACATGTGAAAATGTGTGAGCCTGGGCTGATGAGCAATGGAAACTCCTAGTTCAGGACTTCTCTCCTGTCTACCAGGAAGTGGTTGTGTTGCATTTGTTTTGAGAAGAAATCTGATTCTCTCCAGCCCTCTCCCAGCTGAAATGCCTGCTTTTATTACTACATCATACTTCTGAGGGGCCAGCCTGGCCTAGGAGCAGGTGACAACAGAACTACACCTACTACAACCACCACATTCCAACAACAATCGTTCTTTTTGTATTAATTGTCTCCTATGCACCAGGCTCCTTAAGCCTATGATCTTCACATTCCACAGCAGCCATGAGAACTGGGTATCACACTGCCTACTTTATACCCAAGGAGACAGGAACTAATTGGGTCACACAGCTTCAATAGCTTCTGAGTGCCAAAGCTAGGATTATAACACAGAGCTCTTTGAGTTCAAAATCTTTCCAGTTTATACTGGTGCCTCTCTAGTGCCACTTTCTTTGTAAAGGCTCAGAAAGATGAGATGTGGTCTGTGAAATTCATGAAGACCTTCATTTCTCAGTTCAAATGCCTCCAAATAATCCATATCACTTAGAGAATAGAGTCCAGTCTTCCGGCCTTTCAGTCAATTCTCTCTGTAGTATTGCCTCAATCATCTTTTTAGCCACGTTTCCCACTCTTCACCCACAAACAGACCTTAAACCACAGCCAAATGAAATATTCATAATTCCCTGTAGTGTCATTCATTTTTCTCACTCTGTGCTTTTGCTTAGGTATCCCAGCCTGAAACAGCCTACTTTTTTCTCTAACAACTCACTGAAATCCTACCATCTTTCAAGGTCTTAAATCAAATATCACCTCCATGAGGCTGTTTCGGATTCCCACAGCTGCATGTGAACATTTCCTCTTTTTGACATCACACCGTTTCCATGTCTCAAGCCTCTGAAAACACACGGCCTTAGTGCACCTTGCTCCTTCTAGACAGTGCTTTTGAAAAGCAGGTTGTCCTGGGATCCCAGATCTTTCTTGTGCTTTGGATCCGTAAATCTCACTGCCTACCAATATCTCCAGTGGGGAATTCTACAGAGAAATTCTCATCTTCGATACAGCCAGAACTGATCTAATCTCCCTCATGAATATGAACCCCCTCCAGTGCTCTCATCCCAGTCAATGACCCTCCTACACACATTTGTCCAAGCTAGAAATAGGAGTATCGTCACTTACCCTTTTTTCTCCATCGGTTGTCACATACATCAATCATCTAATCCTACTGCACTACCTCCAAAATACACCCCAAATCTAAGAATTTCTCGCAATTTCCCCTGTATTTTCCCAAGTCTAAGTGACCATCATGTCTCATCATATTACCGTAGCAACTTTCTTAAAATTTATCTCCAAACATCCAGGTTTCCCCAACCCAAACCAATTCTCACTACCATGGTGAGAGCAAGCCTTAAAAATTGCAAATCACATCATGAACTTCTGCTCAGAAATTGAGCTTAGGATAAAATCTAAACAAATGGTTTGTGTGATTTTTCTTTCCGTGACTATTTTGCACCTCTCTAGCCATATCTCTCACAGTTTTCCTTGCCCTTTATGCTTTGTCCCTTCTAAACCTCATTCATTTCTTCAGATAAACAATGTTCATTCCCACTTTCATTTTTCTTCACCTCCAAGAACACGCAGCTTTTGCCCTCAACCTGATTCACACATTTTTGCCTGGCTACTCCTCTGCTCTATCTCAGGTTACATATAACTTCTGAGATGCTTTCTCTGACCTCACGGTCTGGACTTGGTGCTCTCTGATGTCTTCCTGTATCACTCTTACTCCCTAGTCACAGCAGAGTGTTAAAGATGCTGTTTAACTGTCTGTCTCCCTAACTAGACTAACTAGAGAATATCCATTAAAACCTTGAAATCTGTGGAATTCTTTCCCACAAGGTATTTGTCTCCCCAACTAGATGTGAAGTCTTAGCAGAGCTTGGGCTAGGCTCCATGTAATTATAAACCTCCACGGAGCCTAGTGTATGGAAAGCATACTAAAAACTTGCCTTTTGATTATTTGAGAAGAAAACAGGTATTTTCTGTTTGCAACTAGTCACATGGATTATTAGATATATTCCTGAGTCTTTACATTGCCATTTTTTTGTTGTTAAATTAATATTGTCTTGCTAGGGTTAATAGCTATTTTAAAAGGAACCAGAGAAAGTAGGAAAGAACTTGTCTATGTTCATGATGACATTAATTTATGAGAAAGGGTTGGAGGAGCAAGCCAATCAAATACTGGTTGCCAAATTACCATATATCACACAATTTACGAGGCAGTCAAAAGTGTTATTACATTGGAGACCAGAACAACCTTCTTAATTCATCCTTATGACAGTGATTGCAATGACTCTAAGAACCTGGTTTAACCTGAGTTCATCTTATGAAAGGCCTTTCATTTTAAAAAATTACATGTATTGAATTTTAAAGAAGGCTTGGTTTAAAAGGTATACAGTTAAAGCATAATAAAAATGCCTCAATAATCAATCTATGTTTTATATTTGGGTCCCCATCAGCATCTAAGGAAGGCATGCAGTGGATCCTGGTTTATACAAACCAAGCATTGATGCATTTCTTTTTTCTCTGTAGAAAAAAACAATTAATCTCCAGATTTCATCAAAGTAATCCTGCTTTTTTTCAATGCTCCCATGGCCCTGGCATCTCTCACCAGATTCTAATTTTTCTCTCCTAAGAACTCTAAAGAAGTCATTTTGACTGGCCAGTAGTGGACCCCTCCCTAATCCTTCTGTTTTGCAGGGAAAGCCAGCACCCATGCATCCAAGAAGAGCCCTGGTCAAGGAGAAGGGCTTGCTTTTATCATTGTTTTGGGTTTCATTGATCCATGGCCTTGTGGACACAATAAGTATAATGTTACTTCTACCTCCATTGTTGGCTTGGCTCCTAAGGAGCTGGGATACTGTAGCTGCAATAACCTTGCATGGCTTCCTACCCAGCCCCCAGCTCTAAGCACAAAACAGATGCTCAATTACACTCATGGCATGAGCAAAGAAATACTTTTATTTATTCTTTTTTTTTATTTCTTGACTTTTATAATTCACTAGTTTATGTTATCAGCTAGTTTATGTTATCAGTTCAAGACTGACTCACATAAGCATGAACCTTATGGTGTGTTTCTTCACTTGGGGCTGTCCTGCTCAGGGCATTGCCATACTTAGGTGTAGTCAGTGCTGCTGGATGCAGCTCTGCCAAAGTTCATTAAATGGGAGTGAGAACAGCACTTCAGTATGCTGTGTTCTCTGGCTTCCATTCTCAGAGCAGCTGGCTTCCTTGGTGGCTGCCAATCAGCCTCTTGATGATGGCTTCCATCTACTGTGCTGGAGTGGTTTTGGCCTTCTGCAAATGCTGGGAACTCTGGAGAACAAGGTAGCTTCTAAAATCTCAAACGAGTCTTTCTCCTAAGAGGACGTATTTCTAATAGCCCCCAAGTTGGGACATGGACTCTGAGAGGGCCTGACACTTAAGTGGTTTAGATTATGGCTATGTGATTGGTAAGAGTTAAACATAGAGGGCCTATGGTGTGCCCGATGCATAAGAAGCACTTAATATTGTCAATGCCCTTTTCCTACTATTCTTTCACCCTGCCTCTGGATCCATCACACTTTGCCCCTTGGTGAAGCTACGGGGCTTTTGTGGGAGGAGAAAGAGTATGAAAACCAAGAGTATGAGCTTACTCTTGAACACTAATTATAAATTATTAATATAAACAAGCTTAGAAAGATGTTTTGGGTAGAAGCAACAACTCAAACTAAGATACAGAGATGAGAAACAACAAGGAGTGCATGGGTGTATTGGGATTTCCATGGAAACTCAATGTGAGGCAAGAAGGGTCGGAATTGAGGGTGGAGAGTTAGCGCTAAATCATTGAGGAACTTCTAGATGGTGCTAACTATCAAAGACTTTGATCTGAAGTCAATGAGGGGAGCATTGGAGGGTTTTAAGTGGTGCTGGGAAATCTAGTCAGGTCTGCATTTTTGAAATATTGCTCACTGTGGCTGCAATTTGGAGGAGGAAATGCTGAGGAATTAGTTAGGCGGCTGACGCAGAATTTTACTAAGATACACTGAGGCCTGAGCTAGATCAGTGGTGTGGAGAAGAAGAAATGCTATTCCTACCCTGCCAAGCTCTTCTGCTCTATAATTCTTCAACTAAGGTGTTTATGATTCCATTTCAGGATCTCTTGCTCTATCTCTTTGTTTGACTCTCAATGGTGTTCAAAGGCTTGTGAAGGCTCTATGCTAGAACTTCAGGCATCGATAATGAGTAGAACAGCAGTTTCAGGGGAGGAATTTCTTTTTTTTTTTTTTTTTAGGTTACCTAACAACATACCATTGCCCTGGTTATTTATTCATGGGTCTGAGCCAAGGTGGCTTTTAGGGACTGACCTAGTGGTGTTCTCTCTCTACTGCACTTTGAGCTACTTGCCCCTAAGCATGCTCAGCCCAACATGTTCAGCATCTCCAGCTAGACTTCCTTCCTGCACACAGATAGGCACCAGGGAGCCTCAAGAATCTAGAGTCTAAGCAGCCTCCTTATAAGGAATGGGTGCCCATTGTTGCTCTCTGCTTTCACTAGGATGGGTAGGGGTGTTTATAAAATGTGTCATGTAGCTTCATACCACTCTTTGAGCCATTGCTTTGATTCTTCCTAGAATTTTAGAATCCATTGCTGGTGATTTATTCTTATACCCCGTTGTGTAAATTTCTTAAGAAATATCCTTGCTTAGAAGTTGAATACTTCTGTCAACAGGGGTCTCATCCTTCATGGGAGAACTTTCTAATTTAGGATTATCAGACTCCTAAAAATCTCCACCTATATTGTTAAAAAGTCTGTATTTTTTAACTTTCCATACATTGGTCTCTTCTATTTTCTGAACCTAGTAGAACATGATGGAGCTGAAGAGATTCCCAGTTACCTTTCCCGTCTTGCAGAGTCTTCCGCTCTTGAAGATGAGCATCCACTGTATACTTGGGATTAGCTCTTTAATTACTTGTTTTCTAATCACTCTACCATTTCACCCTCTTTGGATATATGTACTTCTTCTTGGTGTGGGCCTGTAGCTGACTGTAGCTAGGGCAACTAACATTTACAAATAATTAGGTAAACCTGGTGGGGATTAGCTGACAGTGATTTGAGAGGAAAGCTCTGAAGGAAAGAAGTACCAGATAGGAACAGGGCAAGAGGAGACAGAAAAGGAGTTACCAGTCAGGACTCTTTTCAACTGTAGACAGGCTTCTACCCTGTGACCATAGGGGCAGGAGACAGGACTAGAGTCAGCTTCAGGCTTCTATCGTCCAAGCTCTTAACTCATTTAATAAGAGACACTCAAATATAAAACCTGAAGGAAAGCTCCTGACTGGGGTGGCTTGGGTTATAACATCATCCCGGAGCCTCTCACTGTGGCTTAAGGGATGGGGTTACCACTTTGGGTGATGCCTGTGTTGTGAGACTCTCCTGTGGCTGGCATATGGAGAGTGGGAAAACATTGTGGTTGACAGCCCCCTCAGAGCAGCCTGGAGTCGGGGAGAAACAATTCTAAAGAAGGGAGGCATTGTTTCCAGAAAAAGAGAAAGGATGTCAAATGGTCAAAATAAACTTATGTCCCTTATAGAGACTGAGGAAGCAAAAGAGGCAGAAAGAATGATTGAAGGAAGCCCAGGATAAGCTTATCCTAAACTTCACAATTAAGCCAAAGCCACTGGAAGGGCTTAATTTTTCAAGGCCAGAGGTCTGCCTCTTTGGAGCTTTCACTCTTCTGTTTGAAGAATGACATTCATACAGCACTGGGGTGTGTTTCCTGAACAACTTGTGTAAAACAAAAGGCCCCTGGGAGCCTGAGGTTCTGTCCAGGATAGATAATGAGACATGCTGACTCTGCCCATCGTTCCCCAAATGATGTCTCCTCACCTTCCTGGGTTATGGAATTGTAGAGCAGGGACTGTGACAACGTGCTTCTGAGCTGATGCCCTGCCCTGTCTTCTAGACAGGAACTGTGGGAAGAGGTCAAAGATCTGGCCCTGAGCCCCTGGATTTTCATGCACCCCGAAAAATCCTCCTTGATTTCAATTCACCTTAAGATATCTAGAGTTTGATCTTTTAATCGAATGGCTATTTAAATAAAATTTTAAAAAGCAATTGCAGCCCAAATATCTCCTTAATGTGATGTTTTCAAAAGTTGTTTCAGAATTTTTAAGCAAAACGCCCGCCTGTAC